>NT_187559.1:0-158166 GCF_000001405.40 Homo sapiens | reverse complement strand
GAATTCAGTGAACGGAGATGCATACTGAAGTCCCAGTCCTGCTTTTTTTTTTTTTTTCCCCTCGTAGGCTATTATTCGTGAATTGGGTGGTATTCCAATTGTTGCAAACAAAATCAACCATTCCAACCAGAGTATTAAAGAGAAAGCTTTAAATGCACTAAATAACCTGAGTGTGAATGTTGAAAATCAAATCAAGATAAAGGTAAGTTGACTGAAAATCACAAATGTATAAGGTTTTCTATAAATAAAAAATAACAAAAAGATGAGTAATGAAACTTTAGTAGACTATCCTTTGTAATTTTACAGCCAAGGATTACCTTTAGAGGAATGGAGAATAAGACAGAAGAGGGAGGGACCTGAACTAGCCAATAAGAGGTACAATAAGACTTTTGTTTCAGTAAAATAATGCTTGTTTATTCTACAGGTTATCCTCTACATCAGGGACAGGCACTGGTGACAGTAATAGCCTTAAGGCTATAGGCACCAACCAAATAGTGAATATAGTTGGCTGAAAGTTGGGACAAGACTTTGCGCTAGAACTAGAACTAGTATTACAAGAGATTCATTCAGGGAGCATATCCGATGCTACATATTCATAAATATGGTTGTTAATGCATACAGTTTGGCTAGTTTTGCCTTTGAAATTAAGTGTACTGTATGAGTGTATTGCAAAGTGTTAAGTCACTGTATGCTTTAGCTCTTTCAATGGATGAGGCAAATGTGCAAATAGATTAAACTGACTTTTACAGAATAACTGTTCCTTTATCTTGTTGTATGGGGAGAAATCCTCCATTTTAGGATGCACATAAAATGCTAACCTACGTTACTGACATTGCTTTAATGCTTTTTCAAAAATGTTATTTATGAGGCAGTTAACCTGTAAAAAAAATAGTTAACTTGGTAAATGCCAACAGTTAAAACACTTCAGCCATGGCATATATAGCCAGAACCCAGTGATACCCCTTGGTTATAGAAAAGAGCAGTGTTTTATGTTTATTATTGAAACAGGACTCCCATGTTCAAACTAGAAATTGTCATTCAACAGAACAAATCAGGTCAAGACAATCACGAAACAAGAGACAGGAGGATGTGCTCCTATGAAGAAAAAAACAACAAATAACCAAACTTTATTTCCTTGAATATAATGTTGATGGCAAGATTTGTAAGAGGTAATCTCTGTATTTAGTTTAGATAAAGACTTCCAGCCCAAAACACTGTTAAGCAGTAACTGTGAGGAGCTATGCAGAAGTGATGAGAGGCAAGTACTATATAGACTAGAAAATTTAATTTTCTACAGAATTACAGATTACTATGCTATGAAGCAAAAGCAGACCATTCTTAATGTATCAAATTGGTGAGCTTATTAATTTCAATAAAAATATATGACCCCCATCACACAAACAGGTAACTCTAAATCTACTTTGAAAATCTGATCAGTCAAGAAGTATTACCAGTTTGGAGGCTATGTACCAAGTGTCATACCAAAGATAAGGCTGCTGTCCTCACAGAATATATGGGGTCATTGACAATCAATTAGAATATCCAATGAAGTGGATATTCTAATATTTGGAGAAATATTGGAAAACTAGCAAAGTGCCCTGGAAATTATGTGTTCTTGCCCTTCCACAAGACGTATAGATCCAGATGAGATTAGTTTGGAATAGGGGTCTTTTTTTAGTCCAGAAAATCTTTAGAGTCCAATACAGTTATGGCTAATCAGAGACTAAAGAACCTTTATGAAAGTAAGTAGGATTGGAAGTCCTTGGAAATTGAGAACGCTTATTTTGAATTAGCATGTTTTAATCAAAGGTATAGAATTAATCAAGTATCAGTTAAGAATTTCTGGAATGCACTCCAATGCCAGAAGACCACTAGCATGCTATTTTGTACTATGAAGATTTCCTGATTTGAAATAGAAGGTAAAAAAAAATATTGCCAGCCATAAAATAAATTTTACTCTACTTGCTTAGTTCTCCAAAGAAAAATCTTACTTTTTTCCCATAAGAAACTCACTGGATCAAATGAATGTTAATTAAACAAAAGATTGTGTAAGTAAAACTGGGCAAAAGACAACCTCTGAAATCCATGAAAGAATTAATCATCAAAAGAGAAGAATCATTTTTACAGTAGCCCCATTGCCGTGAGAGATATTTTCATGAGCCTGGGCCACCTCTCCAACATATAGTGAGAACTTATTACAGGTTTCAGCCAACCAATTTCCATTCCAGCTTGACAGGCTGCTGCAAATTGCTGAGATTCCTCCTTGGTTGAGGAAAATAGAGTAACGACAATTTTACTAGACTCTTTTGCCATAGTGTCCCATGGGTTTATTTCAATGGTACCACTGTTGCCAACACCTATTACTTATCTTCCATATGACAAACAATTCGCATATTTACTAAGATTTATATTAGCTATTATTTCAATAATCACATCAATTCCTTTCTTATCACACATTTCTTAATTTTATCAACATAGTTAACTTCTTTGTAATTAAACACTTTGTGGGCTCCATTTTGCAAAAGTCTTTTTGTCCCTCAGTACCAACTGTGCCCAAAACCTTTAAGACATAAACTCTAGCAATTTGGCATGTTGCTACTGCAGCTCCTCCACTAGCCCCATGAACCAGAACACTCTCCAGCTTTCATACAGACACTGTGAATCAGAGCTCGATATGCAGTAAGATATGGGATACCAATGGCAGCATTTTGTTTAAAGTCCAGTTTTTCAGGCAGTTTGTAAACAGCGTAATCTGCTCCCAGAGATTGTGCCGGTAGTGAAAACTGTCACTTTTCTTGAAAGTAGATGCATTCCCTCCAACAGCTTCCGTTACCCCAGTTACATCTGAGCATAGAATAAGGTGGTTTTCTATTATAAATACCAGAGTAAATGTATGTCTCCATGGGGTTGACACCACACGCATGAACCTTGATTACAACTAATGGTCTTTTGGAACTGGTACTGCAACATCTGACTGAGTTTCAGGACTTCTGGTCTACCAAATTCAAACACTCTAACAGCTCTCACCAGCTTTTGTTCAGTTGCCATGGTCATCTAGATAAAAGCTCTAGAGTGGGAATCAAAATCTGCAAGGGCTCCTTCATATTCCACTGAAGGAGGCTGGCCAGGCTGCTTCTAACTTTTGCAGCCAACAAGACTTTTGGAGTTGGGGTTCAGTTTAATCTAAGGGTGCTAAAGGAACCAGGCCAGGGTCAGATAATGTCAGCAGAAAAATGCAATATTAGGAAATTATGTTATTTCAATTCAATATTTATCAAACCTCCTGCTTTGTGGTGCAGAGTATACAAATGAGCATGATGCAACTCTTGTTCTAAGAAAGGTGGAAGGAAGGATAAGGCAAGTCCTTAAATAATTGTAAGTCAAGGCAGAACATAATGAAGTCCTTTAAAGAAAAATGTAAGTAAAACATGATTGAGTACATAGAAAGGAGAGATTTCATCCAAAAGTTTCTGTAAGAGGTGGAGTCTGACCTGGCTCTTGAGAATGTTACCCTACAGGTAGAGTTGGGGAAGGAGAGAATTCCAAGAGAACAGAACAAGATGAGGTGGACACAGCTGCAGGAATAACTAAGCTGGTCCATTTGGTAATCTTGTTATTATAATTGAAATGGTAAAAAGATTCAGATATAATAAGGATGTAAACAGTCCACACATTTTAGGAAATGCCTTGAAAGACATCAGCATCTTACAGAAGTATATGATTTATAAAGAGCTAAATAAATGCCATGTTTTTAAAGGATGGATGTATAATTAAATTGTAACCAAAGAGAACCAGTTGACTTTCAAATGTAAATTAGGGCCAGGCGTGGTGGCTCACACCTGTAATCCCAACACTTGGGAGCCACGACAGGAGATTGCTGGAGGCCAAGAGTTCAAGACCAGTCTGGGCAACATAGTGAGACCCCATTTCTTTATTTTTGTTTGTTTTTGTTTTGAGACGGAGTCTCACTCTTGTTGCCCATGCTGGAGTGCAGTGGTGCAACCTCAGCTCACTGCAACCCCTGCCTCCTGTTCAAGCAATTCTCCTGCCTCAGCATCCTGAGTAGCTGGGATTACAGGTGCCCACCACCACGCTTGCAATTTTTTGTATTTTTAATAGATATGGGGTCTCACCGTGTTGACCAGTTTGGGTGAGAACCCATTTCTAAAAAAAAAAAAAAAATTTATTAGCTGGGCATAGTGGCATGCATCTGTAATCCCAGCTACTCAGGAGTCTGAGACAGGGGGAATTTGAGGCTGCAGTGAGCTGTTATCACACCACTGCACTCCAGCCTAGGTGACAGAGTGAGACCCTGTCTCTAAAAATAAATGTAATTTAGATCTTGAAACCAGATTAAAAGTTTAATCTCTCATTGCTTTACTGCCATTTAGTTTCTATGGTAACATGGATACATTTGGGATTTTTTTTAAATTAATAATTGTTTATGGGACAATTGGTAACTTACCACTTCAAATTAGGAAAATTTTCTTAGCAGTTAGAACTTTTGGTGGAGTTCAGATTTGCTTAAGTGATTAGTAGTTATCTGTAAAACATAATTTTTGTAAGCTAGAAAGCTTATGGCCAGGCCGGACATGGTGGTGCACACCTGTAATCTCAGCACTTTGGGAGGCTGAGGCAGGCAGATCACTTGAGCTCAAGAGTTTGAGACCAGCCTGGGCAACATGGTGAAACCCTGTCTCTACAAAGAATACAAAAATTAGCTGGGCATGGTGGCATTGCAGCCTGTGCGGCAGTGAGACCTTGTCCCCCCGGAAAAAAAGAAAGCTCATGGCCAGACACAGAAAGTAGAGTTTCAGAAAAGTTTCCATCACACTGAGTTTAGTTGTGTCATGTATGATACAAGAGTACTACAGCATTGCATTACTTTTTACCAGTGATAGTTAACAATATTATGAAGGGGTGAATTATATATATATATATATATATATACACACCTAGGTAAATAAGAACCTTAGGCCAAGTATAATTTTGTTCTGCTTACTTTTGATAGGATTAATTCTAGGGAAAGATTCTGTTTCACATTATCCTCCCATTCTTTACTTCTGAAATGATGTAGCTCTCTAGACCCTACTGCTAAGGTACTTATTACTATGATACAAAATGGCCTCACATCTTCTTCCCTGATCCCAGTGTGCGCAGACCGCAGACCAGTTGAAACCGAAAGGTGGACTAAGATGGGAGGCCTCCAACCAGGGAGAAGCCACTGGTGTTAACAGCATGATCTCTGGGCTTGGCTATTGCATCCCCACCTGCTGTCTGACATTGGGCAGGGGACCCGAGCTCTTTAAAGACTTAAAAGTCCTTGTCTGCAAGATAGCCGTAATAGTACAACACCCAACTCATTAGAGTTGTCTTCAGGATTAAGTGAGGAGTATTTGTAAAATGCTAAGCACTGTGCCTGGAATTACCAAAGGAAGCTTTTAAAAAGTCAACAACTTTTGAGGGCCAGATAGAAATTTCATATTTTGGCCGGGCACAGTGGCTCACGCCTGTAATCCCAGAATTTTGGGAGGCCGAGGCGGGCGGATCGCGAGGTCAGGAGATCGAGACCATCGTGGCTAACATGGTGAAACCCCGTCTCTACTAAAAATACAAAAAAATTAGCCGGGCGTGGTGGCGGGCGCCTGTAGTCCCAGCTACTCTGGAGGCTGAGGCAGGAGAATGGCGTGAACCCAGGAGGCGGAGCTTGCAGTAAGCTGAGATTGCGCCACTGAACTCCAGCCTGGGAGACAGCGAGACTCCGTCTCAAAAAAAAAAAAAAAAAAAAAGTCGTATTTTTTGAGGAGTCGGTTCCATCCTGAGCAGTAGCCCTACTCCACTGTGCAGAAAAGTGGCTGTTCAGTAGAAAAATTTTGGAGATTCTAAGATGCTCATTTTCCTCCCCTGCCTTCAGATATACATCAGTCAAGTATGTGAGGATGTCTTCTCTGGTCCTCTGAACTCTGCTGTGCAGCTGGCTGGACTGACATTGTTGACAAACATGACTGTTACCAATGACCACCAGCACATGCTTCACAGTTACATTACAGACCTGTTCCAGGTGTTACTTACTGGAAATGGAAACACGAAGGTATGAAGAGCTATTGTGTCAAGCTTATTAACATTGAAATAGTATTTGCAGGCCACCTATCTTAAGTTGATGTGCCTCAAAGAGGAAGATTTATTAAAAACTCACATGGGCCCAAGAAAGTATATTATTTTTAGTCCCAAATATTCCATTGCAAAATTAACTTTTGAAAACCATCTGTTGTTTCACTTATCAACAGATTCCTGTTCATTTGGTTTTCTGAGAAGCTAGCTTCCCCCCACCAAATATAGGAACATTGTGATTAAAAGGAGTCTGAGTAATAGTAGTGGTTAGTTGAATATTTTGCTTACCTCAGGGTTAACAAATCATTTTTTTGATTCAGTTATTTGTTGAAAAATATTTCTAAAACAACTTTTAAGCTGTAGTAAATGAAGTGAATTGAATATATGAAAGATGTCTCAGTGCTTCACTCTGTCCAGTTAGGTTGATATAAGAGGCAACAGATATTGAGCTGAATTAAGTAGGACCTTAGGAGATGCCCTATAAAAAGTTTCTTAAGTAAATCTCTCATATTAGTGTGCATTCTTATCAATTGCCATTTTTCAAGAAAAAGTAGCATAAAAATAGATTGTAGGCTAATTAAAAGTTCTGATAAGTCGGGTTGATTGTTCATCAAGGCTTTTTACCATGTTAGTCTGTGTTCTCTGGAACAGTTGAGAGACAAATGCATAAGCATTTTAGAAAGACCAAATGTGAAGCCATACTCCAAATATTCAACATCACTGCAGTTATTTTTGAGTTTATCAAGATGTGATTACAGGAGAGTCTTACTGTAGTCCTGCTTTTATGTTTCCAAGGTGTTTGTACATGGACTTTCCTCTTTTCCAATAGCCAAACTTGTTTGGATGTGATCCAAGATGTACCAAAAGGTATTGAAAATTAAATGTAAGAGTAGTCTTCTAGCAATATTGCACCATTCCCAGGCAGTTTCCAACGTGCATCAGCATGTCTGTCTCCAGTGGAACAAGATAACTTCCAGCCCCTGAACCCCTGGGGAAACTCCTTCCCTCTTTACTGTATGTTGTTGCCACTGTAGGAGAAATCTCTCCTCTGCCTGACTCTGCAGCTGCTTTACCCAGAACCTCAGGAGGAACTCTGAGTCCAGAGCCAGGCTGAGTTCAGCCAGGCAAGTCTGGCCTTGGGGCTGTATATATCTGTCTCAGACATCGTCTGTGTTTTCATATATTTTTTGACTTTTTAAAAGATGACCCAGACCACAATAGTATGTTCTATTTTTGTTTTGTTGTGTTGTGTTTTTCCATTACATTGCTTAGTACAGTATTTCTAGGATAGAAAATTTGCTTTCTTGGTCTGCCTTGGAACATACCTACCAATTACAACATTGATTTTCCATAAAAATTGAGTTTAAAGTTCCAACTTGCAAATGAACTTTTGGATAGCCATCCATTTGTTAGTGGGAAAGTGTGTCTGATTTAGGTATTTTCTTAGTAAATAACCACTAAAATGAATGTTTAAATATCGTATTTTGCTTAAGTCAGGGATCTCACTGTACTGTAATAACCGTTTGGGTACACCACTGATTGATAACTTAATGCAGATAGTGGAGGATTAACATAAACTGTGTGCTTGTTACATCCTCAATGAAAACAAAACTAATGGTTTAAAATGTCCTAGTGTCACCACAAGATGGTGCATGTGACGAGGAAAAAAAACATGTCTTAATATGGTTTCAAACCAAAATCCATATATTTGTTTAATCTGTAGTTGTACTCTAACTGTATATATATTTTTTTCTCATATTTAACTCCCTTCTACAAAGAATAGCAACATCAGATTTTAATACAGGATACCAAATAGCTATTGCTGTTGCTATTCCCTGGTTGTATACCTGCCCTCATTGACTATTAGTGGGTCTTAGATTTTGACTTCATCCAGGCTTATTTCGTAAGTTCAGGACCATCCTATTTCATACCTCCTGTTCCTATTTTTCTAATTGAAACTTCATTGACATTGGAGCCAGGTGTTTTTTTCCTAACACTTATTCCTAGTGTTGCTGATAGTCAGTCAGGCCAGATGAGATCTGATAGTGACCTCCACGGAGTGCACTAAAGAAGGGTCAGAAGTCTCCTTTACTCTTTCAACCCCAGAGGCCTTAATTTATTAATAGCATCTCTTTGAAAAAGACAATCTCTGCATATTCAAGAAATGTTACCAGTGGACACTGCTGAGGATTGGAAGGGGCCAAAAGCATGGTGGCTTTTGTTTTTACCTTGTTCTCTTTTGCATTACTTAAAATTTTTATCATGACCAAGTAGTAATTTTCTAAAAATAAAGAAATATTTGATAAAAACAGTAAAATTAAGCAAAGTAT
Organism: Homo sapiens; assembly: GCF_000001405.40. Classification (NCBI taxonomy): domain Eukaryota; kingdom Metazoa; phylum Chordata; class Mammalia; order Primates; family Hominidae; genus Homo; species Homo sapiens. The sequence goes on along the minus strand of NT_187559.1, from coordinate 149,725 downwards.
TATGTCATCCTCAAATAAATTAGTATCTACAACATGATCAAAGAAATTGTGACTATACAGGATATTTGCATAAAAGACCAAAAAGAAAATACTAAAACTTTTCTTTCTCTTTTTTGACACAGAATCTCACTCTGTTGCCCAGGCTAGATTGCAGTGGCATGATCTCTGCTCACTGCAGCCTTGAGCTTCCAGGCTCAAACAATCCTCCTACCTCAGCCTCCCTGGGACTTTGGTCACATGCCACCACGCCTGGCTGATTTTTGTATTTTTGGTAGAGACGGGGTTTTGCCATGTTGCCCATGTTGCTCTTGAACTCCTGAGCTCAAGTGATCTGCCCACCTTGGCCTCCCAAAGTGCTGGGAATGCAGGCATGCGCCACCGCACCTGGCCAAAAATACCAACACTTAATCGTGATCATTTCTGGTTATGTAAATACGGGTAAATTTTCTTTTTCTTTGTGGTTTTCTATTTTTTTGAAAGTGCTATGGTAAACATCTGTTGCCTTTGTAATAAAAAATTTTTCTAAAATAATATCCAGGTTCCTTCCCAGCTCTAGTGAAGAGCACATTTGTCCCATTTCCCTGAGTTAGTACCCCCCTCTATGCTTATTTTAGTTCCAGGTATCTTGTAGAAAGTATGGTTTCACATGGCCTTTGTTTTTAAAAGACTTGGAACCAACCCGAATGTCCAACAATGATAGACTGGATTAAGAAAATGTGGCACATATACACCATGGAATACTATGCAGCCATAAAAAATGATGAGTTCATGTCCTTTGTAGGGACATGGACAAAATTGGAAATCATCATTCTCAGTAAACTATCGCAAGAACAAAAAACCAAACACTGTATATTCTCACTCATAGGTGGGAATTGAACAATGAGAACACATGGACACAGGAAGGGGAACATCACACTCTGGGGACTGTTGTGGGGTGGGGGGAGGGGGGAGGGATAGCATTGGGAGATATACCTAATGCTAGATGACGAGTTAGTGGGTGCAGTGCACCAGCATGGCACAAGTATACATATGTAACTAACCTGCACATTGTGCACATGTACCCTAAAACTTAAGAATAATAATTAATAAATTAAAAAGAGGCATTCTATTTGAGTCTTGTTATTACTGACTTTTCAGTTATAAGTGATAAGAATGCTGATATTTTAGCTAGTCACCCATTAGATAACATTTATTTGCTTATTATTTATATCATTGCTGGGCATGGTGGCTCATTGCCTGTAATCCTAGTTACTTTGGGAGGCCAAAGTGAGAGGATTGCTTGAGGCCAGGAGTTCAAGACCAGCTTCAGCAATATAGTGAGACCCCCATCTCAATCAATCAACCGATCTATCAGTTTTTATCACTGTGCTTATTTATATGATTGTAAAACACTTTCACATTAAAAGATAACCTCAAAAATTCATGGTAGCTTACCAAAAGGGGCCATATTGTTATTTATTTAGTCTTGGTAACCAAACAGTTCCAAAATTTTTACTGTTTAAGTAGAAATGAGCTGAGCTTTGAGAGATTTTTTTGTTGTTGTTTTAAAGATTATATTTCTTTATTTCTTTTTTGTCGGGGGTGAAGATGGGGTCTAAGGGTCTCACTATATTGCCCAGGCTGGAGTGCAGTGGCTGTTCACAGGCACAATCATAGCTTACTACATCCTTGAACTTGAACATCCTTGAGATGGGAAGGCTCAAGAGATCCTCCCCCGCTCAGCTTCCCAAGTACCTAGGACTACAGGCCGACACCATCATGCCTGGCCATACTTCACTTACCAGTAATCATAATGAAGATCGTGTATTTAACAGATGTTAAGCTTACCAACTGTTCAGATGTGCATGTGAATTGGGGGTAGATTGTGAAGACATTTGCAATATTCTATCTCCCTGACATTATAATTGGGAAAAATTAGGTTTAAATAACCGTGTGATAGAAAACCTGTATCTCTGTGATAAGTTCTCTAAGAGTGGTACAAGACATTTGCAATATTCTCTCTATCTCCCTAACGATGTAATTGGAAAAATGAGGTTTAAATAACACTGTTCTATGATAGGTTCTCTAAGAGTGCTGCCAAGTGTTATAAGAGTTCAGAATGAGACCTTTAAAGTAGAATGAACGGAGAAGGTTTCCTGGAGTAGAGAGAATTTGAGCCAGGCCTGGAAGCTTAGGCAGGACTTTAACAGGAAGACATGGTGAGAGAACAGCATGCCTGAGAGAGAAAATTCATGCTTGCCAGTCTGAGATAAGCCAGTATCATCTTCTTTCAGGTGCAAGTTTTGAAACTGCTTTTGAATTTGTCTGAAAATCCAGCCATGACAGAAGGACTTCTCCGTGCCCAAGTAAATAGCTTATATATTTATTTTGTAAATATACACATATATACATTTGAACAGACAGACAGATCTGGAAAGATTAAGCCTAAAATGTTAACAGGGATTCTCTCTGAGGAGCAGTATTAAAGGTGGTTTTTTAAATTCATTTTGTATGTGTAAATTTCCTAAATTTTTTGCAATGAGCCTCTTTTACTTTTGAAAAACATTTTTAAAAATTCACCCTAGCAACAATAAATTATAACTTTTTTCTCTACCCAATTTTGGGTACAATTGTGCCATCCCATATTTTATACTTGAACTGTTTGTGTTTACATGTATCTTAGTATCCACTGAAACAGCAGTACTGAGTCCCCAGCATATGCTAGATGAGACACACCAGTGAGCACAGCGTGACATGGTACATGTCCTCACGAAGCTTACAGTCTAGTGGAGAGACAAAAATATATAACAAGTGAACAAGGTAATTAAAAGCTGTGATAAGTGTTCTGAATGCTGGGATAGAATGGAGCTCCACTCCTGTAGAAGAGGAACCATCGTATTCATCTGCTCATCCCTATTCCCCACCCAGCTCTGTGCCCTGTGGTGTATGGGCACTAAATGTTTGATGAAAAAATGAGTTCCCATGAAAACCGTATGATGATCTTAAAAAAGAAAATGGTTGTTTTTCCCAAATAACCACATTCTAAAATTCCAAGGAAATTGTATTTTTCCAGCTGAAACACTCCCTTTTTTCCATTAGTATTACAGCGTGGGGGTACATAAGGTTTTATACATCTAAGTTATGAAATTTTGGGTTTTCTGTGACAAAATTTTTTTAATGTGAGATACATTTTAAATGTGAATTTAAAAATTTTAAAATGTGAGTTATTCAATGTAGTTTTAAAATGTTAAAATATACATGAAAAAGTTTTCATATATTATTAATATAAAATAATACTCATTGTTTCATATTTCAGGTGGATTCATCATTCCTTTCCCTTTATGACAGCCACGTAGCAAAGGAGATTCTTCTTCGAGTACTTACGCTATTTCAGAATATAAAGAACTGCCTCAAAATAGAAGGCCATTTAGCTGTGCAGCCTACTTTCACTGAAGGTTCATTGTTTTTCCTGTTACATGGAGAAGAATGTGCCCAGAAAATAAGAGCTTTAGTTGATCACCATGATGCAGAGGTGAAGGAAAAGGTTGTAACAATAATACCCAAAATCTGATTGGTCATATTTTTCCAAAGAGTAATGCAGTCTGGATATAAACGTATTTTCTGTCTTCCTTATAAGGGGATTCTCCCAGCTGCTAAATTTAAACAGTAAATATCACATTTTGTCATTAACACAGCTATAACTTGCCGTGGTTCTCAGATTTATTTTGGACTATTTTGATGCCAAGTGAATATAAGAGCTTGTACTGAAACCATTTATTTCTTTCTATTTTGCTATTTGCAAATGCTTGTTATCTTCCCTACATGAAGTGGCAGTAACCTTTTTCACATTTAAGCTACCCTTCTACCTTTTGAAGTGATTTGCAGTTACTCATCTGAGACAGCATCAGTATTTGACTAAATCATTGTTTCACAACTGAATAGTCTTGTTCTTTTAGTAGCAACGAAATCCTAAGCTCTTGAGGCCATTCACCTGCCAACCTGACCATACTGCTTTCAAAAGTCTTTTCTCATCAGTAGAATCTATTTTGGTCACTTCTAGTCAATGAAAAATGTAAACTTTTAGGAGAGAATGTTTCTTAGGACTCACCCACTCCATTCAATGTTATATATAAAATAGTGTGATCAATCACAATGTCCATCTTTAGACAGTTGGTTAAATAAATTATCTGGTCTTTGAAAAGACCGTGCTGGGCGCGGTGGCTCTTGCCTGTAATCCCAGCACTTTGGGAGGCTGAGGCGGGCAGATCACCTGAGATCGGGAGTTTGAGACCAAGCCTGACCAATATGGAGAAACCCTGTCTCTACTAAGAACACAAAATTAGCTGGGCATGGTGGTGCATGCCTGTAATCCCAGCTACTTGGGAGGCCGAGGCAGGAGAATTGCTTGAACCCGGGAGGCAGAGGTTGCAGTGAGCTGAGATAGCGCCATTGCACTCCAGCCTGGGCAACAAGAGCAAAACTCTGTCTCAAAAAAAAAAAAAAATGATGGAGCTCCGAATGTGCTTAAGTGGAAAGATATCTATGAAATATGGTGGTTTTTTAAAACACAAAAATTATAGAATATGGGATCCCGTGTGTGTGTGTGTGTGTTTGAATGAAAAATGCTTATGTATTGACAGAACACTTCTAGAATGATACCCAAACTCCTGGAGTGGGAGTGGGGAATGCCTTCTACGTACACACTGTTCTACTGTTTGAATTTTTTAATATGAGCCCAAATTGTATAATCTTTTTTTAATAAAGGGGAGAAAAATCACTTACAAGGTTATACATATTTTTTCCCTTGACAGTACTTTATTAATTTTCATCCATATTTTACTTGACTAAAAATACAATGTATGAAAATTTATCTTTAATAGCATTTTCCATAAGCTACTATAACAATTTATTGATACATCTGGGATTCAGCCAGGTCTTATAGTATTTAAATTTATAACCCCTGCCATGCTTAGCATTAAGTAAATCAGTATGCAAGCAGTATTTAAGGCAAAGCTTTAAGAATACTTTAAATTTCATTTGTAAATACATAGATGCAAGACTGTTTCCATAGGAAGTCACAAATCCTCAAACAGAAATATGTGTGTTCTCAATGTTACCCTGATACAGAAATCAAACTTGGAAGAAATATTTTTACATTAGAAAAAGGACTCAGTATAAGGTGAAAACAAAATTCCCAGTGGGCTAGACATGAACAAAAGTATTCATTCCCCAAAAGGCACATTTCTTTATAACGGTTTTTTCAAATCTACCTCCCTATTTAATGAAAGCATATTCATTAAATATGAAACTATGCATACATTAAAAACCAGGATTTGTTTTTAATGTGCTTTAGCAGCAGTAGATTCTAAAACTGTGTCTTCTTGTCCTCTCATTAGTTTGAATAATCACACTCCCTAGAGATCAGAGCATTGAGTCTGAAATGTCAAAATGCTAGAGAAAAGAGGGAGTAATTTTTAACTACCCAGAAAGAAGATGCACAAATACATCTTTTCCTACGTAGGTCACGGCATATGTTGGCTTTTATAATTTGGGATTTCTCCTAATTGATGACCCACCCTATTGGGCAGTGAGGCATAGCAAAGTATTCCTCAGTTATCACAGGAAACTTCAATAAAATCTTACATATTGCTATGGGTATTCACGAAGAGGAAAATGAAGTTGACTTAGAGGATAAGACTGATTAAAAGACACTACAATGCATATTAGACTGAATTGAAGAAGAGAATGGATTTGTCTTATTTTTCAAAATTTGTTTTCACTTTGCACATAAACCCTTCAAAATGTAGATAACAAATGAAAAATAAAGTGGAACCCACTCAATAAGGTGAGATTCTGTAAGCAGAGATGAAGCTTGATGTTCTTAATGAATAGTGTCAGTGTAGAAAGAACATGAGTGGTAATAAAAAATTACAGCTTACAAAAGGGCCTAGAAAAATGAGGCAGGCCAGACGAGTGGAAATAGAACACAACAGTTTAAAGTGCTTTGAGACCCTCAGTTAAACAGTACACGTGAATACAAAATAATGTTAAGGCCATTCATGGAGAAGAAATACTTAAGCAAGACATACCTGGCTTGCTTCATAGAGAAGAGGTAAGAGATGGATTTTCAATTCGGCGTGCAGCAGCAGGGAATATGGCTACAACAACGCTGGCTAGTATTAGGGCAACACACCTCAAAGCTAACTCACCATAAACCTAACATCTTGATTCACATCTGCTTGGAGTGAAAAAGTTTATGATCAGTCTTTTCAGGAAGGTTTATTTTATGGGGGATTTTTTTGTGCTTTAGTACCCCAAAATCACATATGTTCGCATACATCATATACACACACATTGCATACACATTTCCCCTTGACTGATTCGCATCTTTGTAGATAAACACTAAATTTTGATAAAGATTATTTACACTTATTTAGGCTATTACTCCAATTTAAAAATCAGTGAAAGTTTTCAATGTTTAGTCTCCTAATATATAATGCTTAAATTTGCAACAGGAACAATACATTATCAAAAGCATTAACCTGTATTTAGCTTTCAAATATACCTGTCTATATTAGGCAGTGATATCTTAAGAAATCATTTTCTCCCTTATATTTTCTAAAGTGCTTTAAAAACTCATTTAATCTACACATTTTTCAGAGGTAGGTCGGAATTATCCTCTTGTTGCAAATGAGGAAACAGGCACAGTGAGCACTGGTGACTTGTTTCAGGTTACACAAAAAAATCCATGATGAAAGCAGGGTAAAAGTTCAGATTTAGTGGCTAACGTGGCACCACACATACAGGTGTGCAAATAAATTATAGAGCACTGCCTGGGTAGCATTTGGTGTAGAAAACCTATTTTGATTATTTTGTATGAATAAAGTGCTGAGACTGGATTAGGAATACAGAATGGGCCTCCAGTGGTATCTAATCCACCTCCCTCCCTTAGGAAGGGTCAGAATAATCAAGTGAATACAGAGTCCTTATTAGGACTAAATCTTATGTCAACTGACTCCCCCCCCGCCCCCCAACCACTGGCATTCATACTGGCTTACCAAAAGAATCATGCTTAAGGTTCATTTAATATAAAAATGTAAGACATCTGAATCAGGTAAAAAAAATTATAAATCTGATTGATATATTTAGAGCTAAGAGACTCCAGGAAAAAAAAAATGTGTAGAGAAAATTAAAAACAAATTTAATTCAAAGAATATGGTCTATTAACATTTTGTCTGTAAAATATTTCATTGTAGCTGTATTTGTGCTTAGAAGATCTTCTAGATTTAAAAACAGAAAATGGCATAAATCATATTCTCATAGCCACACTCCTTCCCTTCCTCTGCTCAGCTAAGGAGAGGGCTTTCTTTTGAGACAGGGTCTCATTTTGTCGCCCAGGCTGGAGTGCAGTGGTACGATCACAGCTCACTGCAGCCTCTATCTCCTGGGCTCAAGTGATCCTCCCACCTCAGCCTCCCAAGTACCTGTGACTACAGGTACACACCACCTCACCCGGCTTTTTCTTTTTTCTTTTTTTTTTTCCGAGAGAGACGGGAGGTCACCATGTTGCCCAGGTTGATGTCAAACTCCTGGGTTCAAGTGACCCACCCACCTTGGCCTCCCAAAGTAAGAGGTCTTTTGGGAATTGTAGACGTGCAATAGAATATACTGTTCCCTCTCATCTGAAGGCTCTAGGAAAAAAAGAATATACTGTTCTTTTAAAAATTTAAGTGAATGGTGGTCATGGGTGCATTAATGCGAAAGAACTGTACACTTAAAAATGGTTAAAATGGTAAATGTTTAAAATGGCAAATATGTATTTATATATTTTACCACAATAGAGAAAATCAAGTCTTTAAAAATGATAGCCCCTATGTTTTTATGCTTACCTAAATAAACCATATTTAATATTTGGCATATAAGCTAATTTGATAGAGCAAGAATTGCTATGTTTATAATAAGCATGTTGGACTGAATTTCATCATTTATTAGAATGTGCATATAAGAAAGATACTTGTATTTGTAGGCCTCTGAAAAACATCTAGGTAGGTAGAGAGCCTTGACTCACCTTGCCGAAGGTCCTGAAGAATGGAAAAAAGAAAAATGAATCTTCAATATCGGTTTTTCACCTCAGGAAATTCTAGTACCACAAAAATATAATGTTTTAGTAAAAACATTTCCATTGCAGTGCTTATATCATGATATGAAATTTAAAATCCACATTAGCCAATTCATTATTTAAATGACCCACCCCTGAACCCTCTCATAGTGTACATGAGCTGATCATACTAGGAAGCAAGTTATTACACAAAACATAAAACATAAACTTGCAGAAGTTGTTTCCAAATGTAAAATAATCACAATATTCATGAATTTCTAAGTCTTTTCATTTGTTTTTAAACTTAGATGATGCCTTTTTCATTAAAAGTGCCTGTGCTCACATTTATTAAAAGTTTTCATCATCATTATTTAGGTATCTTGATTCTCCATGCTTCAAGACAAAAAAATCTTCAGCGTTAAGTCCGTATCTCTCTAGAGCTTCATTCAGCTTCACTGGAGGCTCTAAGTAATGCTGGCCAAAGAGAAAGAAGAAAAATAGAAAAAGATTAAACATATATTTGGGAGATTTTCCAAATAACAGTTCAAACTAAAATAACCAACAGATGCCTAGTTAGAATTAGGCCCTTTCTTTTAATTGAAGCATTAGCAAATGGGTCTATCACATTTTCTAATACAGTTTTGAGTCATGAATTAAGTCAACAGGTATTTGGTTGGATAGAAATCATGCCAACACCATGTATGTGAAATTTGGTGCCATCTTACTTTGAACATCACTGGATTGCATGAAATCATCACGGTTTCACCATATGAAATTCCAATCTAGATGGAATCAGTGCCAAAGATGATGTTATTAGAGAATTACATGTTACTAACATTTTTGAAAAATATAGAAATCAAATTGTGGTGTGTGTGTGTGTGTAACCAAATGCTAGAGCAAATTGTTTTGCTGAAGAAGGGTTGTTATCCTCAAAAAGTCTAGTCACATACAGAAACCACAGTCTACAGAATGAAAGAGGATCCCAGAGAATATGAAGGTTGAGCTCTGTGTGGCAAAGAGGAGTCAAGATTTTGCCCTGAGGAATTGCTAAATGGGAGTCACCCTTTACTGAGATGTTTGAAAAGTAAGCTTGAGGGAAGATGAGAAAGTTTAATTTCAGACTTTAGTTCTAGGTACCTAATGGATATCCAAGTGGAGATGTGAAGGAGACAGTTGGATATATAAATGTGGATTATAGAAGAAAAACATCTGAGCTAGAGAGGAACAGCAGGTAGGTGGTATTTGAAGCCATAAGACTGGATGCGATTCCCAAGGGAGAAACCAACTACAGAAGAGAAGAGGTCCGTGGACTGACTTCTACGGCACGCACTGTTCAGAGCAAGCGGAGAGGAGGGACTAGCAACAGAGAATAAGGGACAGCCAATGATGTGCAAGGAAAACCAGGCAAGTTTCCTGAGCCCTTAAATGCACAGGTTTGGTAACAGTTGTTGGCCACACACAGGTCATCCTTTTCCCCCTTGCTCAGTTCCAGGTTTTATGGCTATGTTTAAAGATAAAGGATACCTTTCAACTGACTACTGAGTAAGTTTGGTTTTAACTGTATGCTGGTTATCCAATATTCCTAGAGCTAACCCCTTAGTAATGGATAGTTGATAACAGGAATTTACTTTTAGTCTATTTTATATATAAAGAAAAAAGATCACTAATTATATTACAAATAAAATTTAACTTTATACCCTAAGTCAAGAAATTTCCCCTGAAATAATTTCCTAAATTATTTTAAGAGATTTCAAAATGATGAGCTTTTTTCCCATTGAAAAATAACTTCTTTTGTTAAATTCTCTTTCTCCCATGCTGTACAAGTCTGGGCTAACAGTACACACTCACAGAATCACCCTACGTCAGTAACTTATTTGCTAAGCTATAACTTTAGTGTGGAGGGCGATGTTTGCGTTTAGTGAGAATTCTGATATGTTAGAGTTGGCAGTAGACCCTCTGTCTTTAATCTGCCTAGATTTAGCAGTATCTTTCTGAGTTTCTTCACAGACCAATTCTTCGCTGTTTCAACCATCTGGAAGATAACCCTGGAGGTAGGTCTGAAAGGCTTCTGAGTGACTGAGAGCTCACAGTCCAAGCACTTTAGTCCAGAAGGGAGATAAAAATGCCCCATAACCATGGGACAAAACAACTACATATAAAGCAAAACAGCAGATCAGAGATCAATATGAGTAAATGGGAAAAGCAGAAGACTCCGAGCATTCTGGATCCATTAGGGTCTAGGCAGCTAGCCACACACAACTCGTAAATTCCTAAAGGGGTCAGTTTCATGATATACAACAATAGAATATATTCAAAGTAAAGACCCGGATCACTTGAAAGGCAATGTACATATTATGTAATGCTTGAAACTCGTTTCCATCAAAACTAGTAATTTAAGTTTTAGTGCTTAAATATATGTAGGAAATGCACTCATCATTCCCTAGATAAATTAGATGTTGCCATATATGCAATTTTAGAGTATTGCCAAGTTAAGGACATCCTTAATCTGCTTATATTACACGAGGCAGCTACTATAACAGCATATATGCAAAGAGTGTTAAAGTGTTTAGAAGTCATGGGTAACTGGCTGGGTGCAGTGGCTCACGCCAGTTAAGGCTGAAGCGGACGGATCACCTGAGGTCAGGAGTTTGAGACCAGCCTGGCCAACATGGCAAAACCCTGTCTCTACTAAAAATACAAAAATTAGCCAGGCATAGTGGCCGGCACCTGTAATCCCAGCTACTTGGGAGGCTGAGGCAGGAGAATTGCTTGAACCCAGGAGACGGAGGTTGCAGCGCGCCGAGATCGTGCCACTGCACTCCAGCCTGAGCAACAGAATGAGACTCCGTCTCAAAAAAAAAAAAAAAAAAAAAAAAAGGCTGAAGAGGAACAGCTCTGGTCTGCAGCTCCCAGTGAGGTCTACACAGAAGGTGGGTGATTTCTGCATTTCCAACTGAGGTACCTGGTCCATCTCATTAGGGCTGGTTAGACAGTGGGTGCAGCCCACGGAGGGTGAGCCAAAGGAGGGTGGGGCATTGCCTCATCCAGGAAGAACAAGGGGTTGGGGAATTCTCTCCCCTACCCAAGGGAAGCCATGAGAGACTGTACGGGGAGGAACAGTGCACTCCAGCCCAGATACTGCACTTTTCCAATAGTGTTCGTAACAGGCAGACCAGGAGATTACCTCCGGTGCCTGCCCCACCAGGGCCCTGGGTTTCAAGCACAAAACTGGGCGGCAATTTGGGCAGACACCAAACTAGCTGCGGGAGCTTTTTTTTTTTTTCATACCCCAGTGGCACCTGTAATGCCAGCAAAACAAAACCGTTCACTCCCCTGGAAAGGGGGCTGAAGCCATGGAGCCAAGTGGTCTGGCTCAGCGGGGCCCACCCCCACAAAGCCCAGCAAGCTAAGATCCACAGGATTGAAATTTTCGCTGCCAGCACAGCAGTCTGACCCTGACCTGGGATGCTTGAGCTTGGTAGGGGGAGGGGCGTCCGCCACTGCTGAAGCTTGAGTAGGCAGTTTTCCCCTCACAGTGTAAACAAAGCCACTGGGAAGTTCAAAGTGAGCAGAGCCCACTGCAGCTCAGCAAGGCCGCTGCAGCCAGACTGCCTCTCTAGACTTCTCCTCTCTGGGCAGGGCATCTCTAAAAAAAAAAGGCAGCACCCCAGTCAGGGGCTTATAAATAAAACTCCCATCTCCCTGGGACAGAGCAACTGGGGGAAGGGGTGCTGTGGGCGCAGTTTCAGCAGACTTAAACGTCCCTGCCTGACAGCTCTGAAAAGAGCACTGGTTCTCCCAGCACAGCGTTCGAGCTCTGATAAGGGACAGACTGCCTCCTCAAGTGGGTCCCTGACCCCTGTGTATCCTGGCTGGGAGACACCTCCCAGTAGGGGCCGACAGACATCTCATACAGGAGACCTCTGGCTGGCATCTGACGGGTGCCCTTCTGGGACAAAGCTTGCAGAGGAAGAAACAGGCAGTAATCTTTGCTGTTCTGCAGCCTCCGATGTTGATACCCAGGCAAACAGGGTCTGGAGTGGACCTCCAGCAAACTCCAGCAGACCTGCAGCAGAGGGGCCTGTAAGAAGGAAAACTAACTAACAGAAAGGAATAGTATCAGCATCAACAAAAAGGACGTCCACTCATAGAGCCCACCTGAAGGTCACCAACATCAAAGACCAAAGGTAGATAAATCCACAAAGATGGGGAGAAACCAGCACAAAAAGGCTGAAAACTCCAAAAACCATAACACTTCCTCTCCTCCAAAGGATCACAACTCCTCACCAGCAAGGGAAGAAAACTGGACACAGAATGAGTTTGATGAATTGACAGAAGCAGGCTTTAGAAGGTGGGTAATAACAAACCCCTCCGAGCTAAAGGAGCGTATTCTAACCCAATGCAAGGAAGCTAAGAACCTTGAAAAAAGGTTAGACAAATTGCTAACTAGAAAAAACAGTTTAGAGAAGAACATAAATGACCTGATGGAGCTGAAAAACACAGTAAGAGAACTTCATTAAGCATACACAGTATCAATAGCCGAATCGATCAAGCAGAAGAAAGGATATCAGAGATTGAAGATCAACTCAATGAATTAAAGCGAGAAGACAAGATTAGAGAAAAAAGAGTGACAAGAAATGAACAAAGACTCCAAGAAATATGTGACTATGTGAAAAGACCAAATCTACACGATTGGTGTACCTGAAAGTGATGGGGAGAATGAAACCAAGTTGGAAAACACTCTTCAGAATATTATCCAGGAGAACTTCCCCAACCTAGCAAGACAGGCCAACATTCAAATTCAGGAAATACAGAGAACACCACAAAGATACTCCTCAAGAAGAGCAACCTCAAGACACATAATCGTCAGATTCATCAAGGGTGAAATGAAGGAAAAAATGTAAAGGGCAACCAGAGAGAAACTTCAGGTTACCCATAAAGGGAAGCCCATCAGACTAAGTTACCCATAAAGGGAAGCCCATCAGACTAACACCAGATCTCTCAGCAGAAACCCTACAAGCCCAGAAGAGAGTAGGGGCCAATATTCAACATTCTTTTTTTTTTTTTTTTTTTTTTTTTTGAGATGGAGTCTTGCTCTGTCACCCAGGTTGGAGTGCAGTGGTGCAGTCTCAGCTCACTGCAACCTCCACCTCCCGGGTTCAAGCAGTTTTCCAGCCTCAGCCTCCTGAGTAGTTGGGATCACAGGCGTGCGCCACAACACCCAGTTAATTTTTGCATTTTTAGTAGAGACGGGGTTTCACCATGTTGGTCAGGCTGGTCTCGAACTCCTGACCTCATGATCTGCCCGCCTCAGCCTCCAAAAGTGCTGGGATTACAGGCGTGAGCCACCACGCCCAGCTCAACATTCTTAAAAGAATTTTCAACCCAGAATTTCATATGCAGCCAAACTAAGCTTCAAAGCGAAGGTGAAATAAAATCCTTTACAGACAAGCAAATGCTGAGAGATTTTTGTCACCACCAGGCCTGCCTTACAAGAGCTCCTGAAGGAAGCACTAAACATGGAAAGGAACAACCAGTATAAGCCACTGCAAAAACATACCAAATTGCAAAGACCATCAACACTATGAATAAACTGCATTAACCAACAAGCAAAATAACCAGCTAACATCATAATGACAGGATCATATTCACACATAACAATATTAACCTTAAATGTAAATGGGTTAATGCCCCAATTAAAAGACACAGACTGGTAAACTGGATAAAGAGTCAAGACCCATCAGTGTGCTGTATTCAGAAGACCCAACTCATGTGCAAAGACACACATAGGCTCAAAATAAAGGGATGGAGGAATACTTACCAAGCAAATGGAAAGCAAAAAAAAGCAGGGGTTGTAATCCTAGTCTCTGATAAAACAGATTTTAAACCAACAAGGATCAAAAAGAGACAAAGAAGGGCATTACATAATGGTAAAGGAATCAATGCAACAAGAGCTAACTATCCTAAATATATATGCACCCAATACAGGAGCACCCAGATTCATAAAGCAAGTTCTTAGAGACCTACAAAGAGACTTAGACTCCCACACAATAATAGTGGAAGACTTTAACACCACATTGTCAATATTAGACAGATCAACGAGACAGAAAATTAACAAGGATATCAAGGAACTGAACTCAGCTCTGGACCAAGCAGACCTAACAGACATCTACAGAACTCTCCACCCCCAAATCAACAGAATATACATTCTTCTCAGAAACACATCGCACTTATTCTAAAACTCACCACATAATTGGAAGTAAAACACTCCTCAACAAATGCAAAAGAAAGGAAATCATAACAGTCTCTCAGACCACATGCAATCAAATTAGAACTCAGGATTAAGAAACTCACTCAAAACCACACAACTGCATGGAAACTGAAAAACCTGCTTCTGAACAACCTGCTCCTGAATGACTATGGGTAAATAACAAAATTAAGGCAGAAATAAAGATGTTGTTTGAAACCAATGAGGACAAAGACACAATGTACCAGAATCTCTGGGACACATTTAAAGCAGTGTGTAGAGGAAATTTATAGCATTAAATGCCCACAAGAGAAAGCGGGAAAGATCTAAAATCAACACCCTAACATCACAACTAAACTAGAGAAGCAAGAGCAAACAAACTCAAAAGCGAGCAGAAGACAAGAAATAACTAAGATCAGAGCAGAACTGAAGGAGACAGAGACGCGAAAAATCCTTCAAAAAAAATCAATGAATCCAGGAGCTGGATTCATTAGCCAGACTAATAAAGAACAAAAGAGAGAAGAATCAAATTGACGCAATAAAAAATGATAAAGGAGATATCACCACTGATCCCACAGAAATACAAACTACCATCAAAGAATACTATCAACACCTCTACGCAAATAAAGTGGAAAATCTAGAAGAAATGGATAAATTCCTGGACACATACACCATCCTAAGACTAAACCAGGAAGAAGTCAAATTCCTGAATAGGCCAATAACAAGTTGTGAAATTGAGGACGCAATTAATAGCCTACCAACCAAAAAAAGTCCAGGACCAGACGGATTCACAGCCAAATTCTACCAGAGGTACAAAGAGGAGCTGGTACCATTCCTTCTAAAACTATTCCAAACAATAGAAAAAGAGGGAATCCTCCCTAACTCGTTTTATGAGGCCACCATCATCCTGATACCAAAACCTGGCAGAGATTCCAAAACCTGGCAGAGACACAACAAAAAAGAGAAAATTTCAGGCCAATATCCCTGATGAACATCGATGCGAAAATCCTCAATAATGGCAAACTGAACCCAGCAGCACATCATAAAGCTTATTCACCATGATCAAGTCAGCTTCATACCTGGGATGCAAGGCTGGTTCAACATACGCAACTCAATAAATGTAATCCATCACATAAACAGAACCAATGACAAAAACCACATGATTGTCTCAATAGAAGCAGAAAAGGCCTTCGACAAAATTCAACAACCCTTCAAGTTATTCAATAAACTAGGTATTAATGGAACATATCTCAAAATAATAAGAGCTATTTATGACAAACCCACAGCCAATATCCTACTAAATGGGCAAAAACTGGAAGCATTCCCTTTGAAAACCAGCACAAGACAAGGATGCCCTCTCTCACCACTCCTATTCAACATAGCATTCGAAGTTCTGGCCAGGGCAATCAGGCAAGAGAAAGAAATAAAGGGTATTCAATTAGGAAAAGAGGAAGTCAGATTGTCTCTGTTTGCAGATGACATGATTGTATATTTAGAGAAACCCATCATCTCAACCCAAAATCTCCTTAAGCTGATAAGCAACTTCAGCAAAATCTCAGGATACAAAAATCAATGTATCACAGCATTCCTATACAGAATTAAAAATCACAAGCAAACTCAAAAGCGAGCAGAAGACCAATAACAGGCAAAGAGTCAAATCATGAGTGAACTCCCATTCTCAATTGCTACAAAGAGAATAAAATACCTAGGAATACAACTTACAAGGGATGTGAAGGACCTCTTCAGGAAAAACTACAAACCACTGCTCAAGGAAATAAGAGAGGACACAAACAAATGGAAAAACATTCCATGCTCATGGATAGGAAGAATCAATATTGTGAAAATGCTCATACTGCCCAAAGTAATTTATAGAGTCAATGCTACCCCCATCAAGCTACCATTGACTTTCTTCACAGAACTGGAAAAAACTACTTTAAATTTCATATGGAACAAAAAAAGAGCCCACATAGCCAAGACAATCCTAAGCAAAAAGAACAAAGCTGGAGGCATCATGCTACCTGACTTCAAGCTATACTACAAGGTTACAGTAATCAAAACAGCATGGTACTGGTACCAAAACAGATATATAGACCAATGGAACAGAACAGAGGCCTCAGAAGTAACACCACACATCTACAACCATCTGATCTTTGACAAACCTGACAAATACAAGCAATGGGGAAAGGATTCCCTATTTAATAAATGGTGTTCAGAAAACTGGCTAGCCATAAGCAGAAAGCTGCAACTGGATCCCTTCCTTACACCTTATACAAAAATTAACTCAAGATGGATTAAAGACTTAAACATAAGACCTAAAACCATAAAAACCCTAGAAGAAAACCCAGGCAATACCATTCAGGACATGGGCATGGGCAAAGACTTCATGACTAAAATACCAAAAGCAATGGCAACAAAAGCCAAATAGACAATGGGATCTAATTAAACTAAAGAGCTTCTGCACAGCAAAAAAAATTATCAGCAGAATGAACAGGCAGCCTACAGAATGGGAGAAAATTTTTGCAATCTATCCATCTGACAAAGGGCTAATAACAAAAATCTACAAAGAACTTAATTTACAAGAAAAAAACAAACAACCCCATCAAAAAGTGGGCAAAGGATATGAACAGACACTTCTCAAAAGAAGACATTTATGCAGCCAACAAACATATGAAAAAAAAAACTCATCATCACTGGTCATTAGAGAAATGCAAATCAAAACCATATTGAGATACCATCTTATGCCAGTTAGAATGGTGATCATTAAAAAGTCAGGAAACAGATGCTGGAGTGGATGTGGAGAAATAGGAATGCTTTTACACTGTTGGTGGGAGTGTAAATTAGTTCAACCACTGTGGAAGACACTGTGGCGATTCCTCAAGGATCTGGAACCAGAAATACCATTTGACGCAGCAATCCCATCACTGGGTATATACCCAGAGGATTATAAATCATTCTACTATAAAGACTCATGCACACGTGTGTTTATTGAGGCACTGTTCACAATAGCTAAGACTTGGAACCAACCCAAATGCCCATCAATGATAGACTGGATAAAGAAAATGTGGCACATATACACCATGGAATACTATGCAGCCATAGAAAAGGATGAGTTCATGTCCTTTGCAGGGACATGGATGAAGCTGGAAACCATCATTCTCAGCAAACTAACACAAGAACAGAAAACCAAACACCGCATGTTCTCACTCATAAGTGGGAGTTGAACAATGAGAACACATGGACACAGAGAGGGGAACATCACACATTGGGGCCTGTCAGGGGGTGGGGGGCTACGGGAGGGATAGCATTAGGAGAAATACCTAATGTAGATGAAGGGTTGATGGGTGCAGCAAACCACCATGGCACGTGTATACCTATGTAACAAACCTGTATGTTCTGCACATGTATCCCAGAACTTAAAGTATAATAAAAAAAAAAAGAAGTAAAGGGTAACATATCCTCTCTGAAGATTATATCTGCTTTATAATTCAACTAACTCATAGTTATGAGGTTTATTCAACATCAAAACATGAACAAATTCCAAAATGCTGAAAGTCAAATGAGTTTTTATTAACATTCTCATTAAGAAATAAAGATGGCGGTTAGGTTTATAACAGGAATAATTCTTGAAGGCTGAATAACACAATAATTCTCAAAGACAGGATTTTTTAATCCTCTCTCATCTTCCCCATCTCAGTAAAGAGCACAACTGTCTAACCAGCTATTGAAGCTAAAAATCTAGGAGTCAACCTTGATTCCTTTCTTTGCATAGGTTTAATAAAATACCATTACTTCATCTAAGTCCCATATATATGGAATATACATAATGGAATATGTGCATACACGCACACATATATAGATGGAATAAGAAATTGTCACTGAAAACCAGTCTTAAACTTCTCCCTTCTCCAAATACGCACCCACACACCCACATTTATATTCTCATTTATCCTCCCCACAACCCTATGGTTAGTCATTATTCTATTCCTTCTCCCAACAGTGGCCAAGAATTGCTGCATTGTGGCTCAGGGTTGCTGCCTCATGGCACAGGAATTTTGATTAGGGAGTGGGGGAATGGGCAGGCAGTGTATTAGGTAATTTTGGAACACACTGCATCTTTGGGAGAGGGCAGGCCATAAGTGAGACAGAGGAGTAACTAAAACTGCAAGAAAACACTGAGTTCCTGCAGAGAGGCTCTGGGATGTGGAAGATGCCACAGAAAGTAAAGAAGCCAAGTCCTAACCACACTTTTTTTTTTTTTAAAGACAGAGTCTCACTTTTTTTTTTAAGACAGAGTCTCACTTTTTTTTTTTTTTTTTTTCTCAAGACAGAGTTTCGCTCTTTCACCCAGGCTGGAAGGAAGTGCCGTAATCTCGGCTCACTGCAACCTCTGTCTCCCAGGTTCAAGTTATTCTCCTGCCTCAGGCTCCCGAGTAGCTGGAATTATAGGCGCCTGCCACCACGCCCAGCTAATTTTATTAGAGATGGGTTTTCATCATGTTGGCCAGGCTGGTCTCGAACTCCTGACCTCAGGTGATCCACCCGCCTCAGACTCCCAAAGTGCTGGGATTACAGGTGTGAGCCACAGGTGCCCAGCCAAATCTCACTCTTTTGCCCAGGCTGGAGTATAGTGGCACAATCTCGACTTACTGCAACCTCTACTTCCTGGGTTCAGGCGATTCTCCTGCCTCAGCCTCCCGAGTAGCTGGGATTACAGGCACGCACCACCACGCCTGGCTATTTTGTATTTTTAGTAGAGACGGGGTTTCGCCATGTTGGCCAGGCTGGTCTCGAACTCCTGACCTCAAGTGATCCACCTGCCTCAGCCTCCCAAAGTGCTGGGATTACAGGTGTGAGCCACTGCACTGGGCCTAACCATACATTTCTAAGTTTTGTTTAGAGAAGACCTTGGATCCAGGAAAGGAGAGAAAGCTTTATACTATCCTCTGCTTGATCCCAGGACCCAGGCTAGTGGCAGAGTTCTAGGGTCCATCTGCCTTAAGGAAAAATTATCTCTTCTGTTTTAATCTAGGAATAAAATCACATTTATCCCTATGCCTGGCACATAGCAGACACCGAGTCAATGTTTACTGAATATATTTCTAGAAAGTTCCACACTAGCCTTACTTCTCCCTATTGCCCTCCACTCTCCTGCTGAACTGATTCAAGTACTCCCCACACTAGCTGCCTCCGAGCCTATGCTCTGCCCTTTCCTCCTCTGAAAATGCCTTCCTCCCTGCCCTCTCAGAGCCAAGTTCAAATGTCACTTATTCCATCACGCCCTCTCTGATCCCTGCCATCAGCAAACATCCTGATTCTGAGACCATCTCATCTGTTCCACATTACAGCACTTTCCCCTTCTAACATCTGTATCACATACATGACTTCTGTCTTCTGCTAGCATGAGAGCCTGCTTGAGGGGTGAGACATGATGGCTTGCTTTTCTAGTCTCCAGACCACATACAGATTTTTGGTTATACAAATACAAGCTTTACTAACTTCAGAAATAAGCCAAAAGAAAACACAATGAGGTTGTGTTGTTTTTTTTTTCTGACTGTATATGTGTGTATTGTTCTACTAATTAGTATGATTTACCACCCTAATTCATGCAGTGACTGTGATGACTGTGCAGTATCTGATTCCAGAGTCTTGGGTCTGAAAACTAAGGAACAGTGATGCCTGAATCCTATCATTGGTCAAACACACAAAGTTATTTTTATCGCAATCAAACTTACCTCATTTGCTAAGGCAAAAGTTCCCCAGTGAATTGCCATAGATTTCTTTGTTTGGACATCAGTGTGAATCCTTACAGCTTCTTCTGGGTCTACATGCTGGTATTTCATAAACCACCTGAAGAAACATGGCAATTTCTTAATTCTGACCTTTGAGATATACACTAAATTCTAAAATCTGTTTCACTTAACCAAACTTTAAGATTCTGCGCAGGACTATGGATGTTGAGAATTAAGAACCACTGGGATAAAACATGCAGTTTTGGGGAGGATGAGCTAGAAACCAAGTCTGAAGGCCAGGTCAAGGCTAGATTGTAAAAACAAAACAAATTCTGCACAGGAATTAAGTCACAGGAGGCAAAACCATCTCCCTTTGGTACACTTTCTGCTGAAAAATAAAACAAGCAAAAGTCTTTCTTGTACAAATTGCTATAAAATAAGTAAGTCTCAAGCAAACTCCCCTCTGAATAGTGAGATTTTTGTTTCACGTATATTTTGATTTTACTGGATCTATCTGAAGATACAACTTACTGATGATGCAGGGGAGGCGAGCCCCAAAATTGAGGCTTAGCCCAGGAGGGTTTTTGGCCTCACAAACGAAATATAATTCAACGGCAAGCCAGTGGTGCTGGCCAGCAATTTTTTTTAAACGATACTGCTCCTTGAGGAGCAGTGCTAAGTTATAGGCAGTAAGTGCACTCAGAGTTGGCAACATATGAGGGGTTGGTAACTGTATTTACACTCACTTATACCCACTTTTAATTATATGTAAATTAGGGAATGGGTTAATGCAAATTAAAGGGCAGATTATTTAGAACTTTCTAGGAATGGGGTGGTAACTTCTTGGTCATTGCCATGGAAAGGGGCAGTAACTTCTAGGTTGTTGCCATGGCCATTTATAAACTGTCATGGTGATGGTGGGAGAGTCTTAGGCTAATGAGCAATGAGGGCAGCTAGGGATCACTTCTGTCACCATCTGCTGGTTTTTGCCAGTTTTTTCTTTTTTTCTTTTTTTTTTTTTCTGAGATTGAGTCTCACTCTGTCGCCCAGGCTAGAGTGCAGTGCCGCGATCCCAGCTCACTGCAACCTCCGCCTCCTGGGTTCAAGTGATTCTTCTGCTTCAACCTCCTGGGTAGCTGGGACTATAGGCACGTACCACCTCTCCCGGCTAATTTTTTGTATTTTTAGTAGAACCAGGGTTTCACCATGTTAGCCAGGATGGTACTGATCTCCTGACCTTGTGATCTGCCTGCCTCCACATCCCAAAGTGCTGGGATCACAGACGTGAGCCACCGCGCCCAGCTGCCAGTTTTTTCACTTTATCAATTGAGACTGGGAAATAAGTCCTGCCTCACTGTTACTTTTAAAAGTAGATATTTTACAGTCCTGGATATGTATCAAAGAAACTGAATAATTGGTAAAGAAATAAAAACCAAAGCTCCAATTACAAAAGAATTTGTATGTCCTGCTGATACAAATTTGTAAAAACCTGCTAAAGCAAAAATAAACAAAAACTAGTACATAAAATTTAAAGACCAGGAGCCAAATATCCAATTACTATTCAAGAAATTTTATTTAATCATAAAACTGAACAATGAGGTGTTTGGTTTGGCAAGAAGATCAGACTAATGGGTAAATGATTAAGGAAATAATGAAAGGGTGCCTAATGCCTTGGGAAGAGCGAGGGCTCAGGAGGCAGAAGGCTTGGGTGTGAATCCTAGCTCTTGCAGTTCTTAGAATGCCTTTGGAAAGTCTGTTCAAATTCTCTGAGCTGCTATTTCTTTGTCTGTGAAATATAAATTTTACCCCATTATGTGAGGGTATTGTGAGGATTAAACAAGACAAGGCTTAGGAAAGCATAGAGAACATCATCTACTTTCATAGAATTCTCCCAAAACAGTAAACAAAACCAACACTTTCAGAAGAAAGACGTATTATTCCTGATATAAAGGAGAAAGTGTACTGTCTACAAGCAAATCCTTTGCCTTCCAAGCCATCAGTTTCAAGGAGGAAAAACAACACTGTATTCACATTATTTACATCCTAGTCTGCCAGTGACAACTAACACTACAGTGAAGACCAACAGACATGGATTCAGCACAGGAGCTTCCACACTTTACAGAAGACATCATGGAGAAGTTTATCCATCTGCAACAGATATTTACTGTTAGGAGTTGCTGGGTCCTACAGAAGGCTGAAAACAAAGCCACTGTGTTCTCCTCAACAGCAAATGAGAGCAGCACTGTTCTGCCATATCTCCTGACTCTTGGGATTCAGGGAAAGATGAAAATGGTTTTTGGTGTTTCTCTCTTGATTTTTTTTAAATCCTAGTGCAAATCAAAGGGATAGATATATTCCTTTCCACCTGAAATAGATTTAAATTTTTTACTGTGATATAACAATTAAAATAAAAACTTAAAATCTTAACTGACTTGGATAGAATACCTGGTGACAGGAGATTCCCTAAAGTAAGAATGAAACATTCCAAGCATATTATTGAAAGTTGTTTTCGGTCTAAACATCTTAAATTTATAGAGCACTCTCAAGTGTTATTCAATATCTTATTTCTAAAGCCGTTAACAGTAACCAAAGAAACAGACTACACATTAGAGGCTACCACAATTTAACTCTCTTAGGGCAAATAATAGCCTCCTTGTCTTTTTCCCATCTTAGTTGTTTCCTGTTTGCCTGCAATGCAAGCAGGAAAGGGGGATTATGTGAGTAAATTTGGTTGTACATATTTTATCATCACAAATATATGTGACAAATTTATATATTACTACATATGAAAACTTATTTTCATAACAAATAAAAGATGTTCTAATCTATTAAGAACATACATCAGGCTGGGCATGGTGGCTAACGCCTATAATCCTACCACGTTGGGAGGCCGACACAGGCAGATCACTTGAGGTCAGGAGTTCAAAACCAGTCTAGCCAACATGGTGAAACCCTGTCTCTACTAAAAACACACATAAAAAAACTAGCCAGGCATGGTGGCAGGCGCCTGTAGTCCCAGCTACTTGGGAGGTTGAGGCAGGAGAATCACTTGAACCCAGAGACGGAGGTTGCAGTGAGCCGAGATCGTGCCACTGCACTCCAACCTGGGCAACAGAGTGAGACTCCATCTCAAACAACCAACCAAAAAAGGAACATACATCGAGTAAAGACCAATTTTATGTTACAAATACATAACTGATTTGTAACAGTTCTAAAAATATATAAGTTGACAGGTTTTGAGAGGTTTCATTAGAATTATAACTATTTAATTAGAAAAGTAAAATTCAAGCACCAATATTGATTTGTAATCATTTTAATAATTATCAAGAACCAAAAAAGGGTAAAAATATCTAGCCCCTCCAAATAAGGAAACTAGCAAAAAACAAAAAGGGATAAATAAGCATTAGTAAATAAAAATAGGGACAAAATCGTTTTAGTGAATGTAAAAATTTAGCAAATAACAAAATCAGATGAAAACAAAAGTTTAGATTCATTCAATTCATCTATGTATTAGAGAAATACTTGTTCTTCCACTTATGGAATTACCTAAACAAAATGTTGTTGTATGTATCTGTCCATGCACTATAGAATACAATATTTTTAAAATTATCCATTGCTTTGTTACTATTAGTGTTTTGTTTTCTCTTTATTTGCACATATAAACCAGAGTTGACTGAAATCTAACTTAATTCTTTGAAATCACTTCTCTTTTCCCTAAACAGAGAATATTAAGGAAAACAAAGACAGTGGATGAGTCTCCTAGGTGTCCAATGAGAGTGTGACCTTTCGCTGCTCTGAAATAGGTCAATAGTATGTCAAGGTTGGAGGATGAGTGGTGAGTAGTACAACACCACCATGACCAGATTAACTTCAGTGCTGACTGAAATAAAACCCTCACCAGGGACTAATGCTATAGGCCAATTCCTTGCTTTTTCTCTTTGCTAAACGTAGGAGAGCTGTAGGACAGGGGATTGGGGCACTCAAGTTATGGAGCAAAAGGTGGTTATATAAAGAAAGTATTCTCCATGTGAAAGAATAAGAGTAGGTTTTATTACTGGCTGACCAGTTTAGTTGAATGGTATGTGAACTTCTGGCTAGGTATAGTAATTCTTTAAACCTTGATCCCTTTCTTATGGTAACATCATCCCTGATTTTGAGTAATTTTTTTAACTCATATGACTATAATTAAAATATTTTAATTCTCACCACAAAAACATAAGTATGTGAGATAATGCACATGTAAAATAGTTTGATTTAGTTATTCCACAATGCATACATATATCAAAACATCATGTTGCACACCATATACACAATTTTTACTTGTCAATTTAAAAAATATTTAATTTAAAATATTTAAAAATAAAATCTAATTGAATCTGACCTACCAACCCCCAATCATGTATAACAAAGTCCACCATTAAAATCATAAATTACAGTGTCACAAAAATCATAATTGCTTTACTTTTAAATTCAGTTAATTTATCACATAGCAGGAATGTTTTCTTTGGAAGTCTACATACCTCGGTTCATAAGCTCCGATGGGAATAGCTGCAAGGTCAAAAGGTCCAAATCTTTTTCCTATCTCTTCAAAAGCAGGGCAATAACCAGTATCTCCTGCGAAAAAAAATCGATTCCAAGGCCCCAAGACAGACCAGCTGCCCCATAGCACCTTGTTGTCATCCATTAGAGTCCTTTTACACCAGTGCTGGGAAGGTGTAAAGACAAAAGTGACCTTATCATGTCCGGGGACACAATTCTCCTCCCACCAGTCCAACTCAATCACATTCTCACAGCCACATTTTTGCATCCAGTCAAGGAGACCCAAAGGCACAAACCATCTCAACTCATTACCAAATCGCTCATTCAAAGCAATGACAGAATTGTAGTCCAGATGGTCATAGTGGTTGTGACTGATAAGGACCGCATCTATTGGAGGGAGTTCACTTATTGTGCACGGGGAACGACGAAATCGCTTTGGACCCATGTACTGCGATGGTGAAGCACGAGAGCTAAAGATGGGATCCGTGAGAAATATGAGCTCATCCATTTCCACCATTACCGTGGCATGTCCCAGCCATGTGACTCTTAAGCCAGCTTCCCTCACTCCAGCTTCTTCAGGGTTAGTGATAAAATATGGCTTAAGCACTGGGAGTTCTTTGTCTAGTTCCTTTGTGTATAAAGAAAGCAAGACAAAAGAGTAGTTAGAAAAAAAAGTATTATATCATCATAGTCCACATTTTGACCTAAATAATGGCAAGAAGAGCTGTTTTAAGAGAACTAAAGTCATTCAATAAACTTGCTACACTTTTGCTTTTTTCTTGAAAATGCATACTTCTTTCTGAATCTGACTTAATAATCATGATAATATGGTAATCTTCTTCCTCCCAAATGCAAAAGAGAAAATTAAATTTAAAACTTTGAGTGCTGCTAAATGTATCAATTTTTTAAAGGCTCTCTTCAGTACTGCCAGAAGTAGACTGGCCTAGATGCAGTCATTTTTCTATTGCCATTCTACTCAGCTGATGTATTTGCTGCTAAAAACTGCCTTAAAAGCAGGTCAGTCCCTGGAAATAGTAAAGAAAGCTTATGACCATTTATTTGTAGCTCTTGGCTCTCAGACATGAATCATGAATCTGATATTTTTCTTTTTTTTTTTTTTTTTTTTTTTTTTGTCTGAGACAGGCTCTCGCTCTGTTACCCAGGCTGGGGTGCAGTGGCATAATCACAGCTCTCTACAGCCACAACCCCCCAGGGTCAAGTGATCATCCCACCTCAACCTCTCAGCTGGGATCACAGGCACACAGCACCACCATATCCAGCTAATTTTTTATTTTTTGTAGAGACAGGGTCTCATTATGTTGCCCAGATTGATCTTGAACTCCTGGGCTCAAGCAATCATCCTGTCTTGCCCTCCCAAAGTGCTGGTATTATAGGCGTGAGCCACTGTGCCTGGCCTGAATCTCACTTTCTGAGTACCTATAATTCAAAATGGAGCGCTGTGATGATTCCTGGACAAATCACAGTCATAAATTGTTTTCCTCATTCCTTACCTTTCTGATTTTCTACCATTAATCAAACCAACGTGAATATGATCCCTTCCTGTGAGAAGCTGATCACTGAGATAAGGGGGGCCGTAAATGGATATAAAACAATAACTATAACAAAGCGTGAAGAGTATTATCCCTTGGTTATTCTACATTTTATACTTGGATTAAGCTAGGCCAACAAAAAGTGGTAAGGTTGCAGCATCACAGTCCTGGCTTTTATAAAGCTCTTTTACTGAATTGTGCTCTGGTACCATGCTATATAGCTGCATGGAGGTCTCTCATAGGAAGCCACCTCATGAAACTCACCATGTATGTGTTCAGGCTGCAGACTTGGTACCACCTCCACCTTCCTACTTACCCCAGAAACATTTCCCTCCCATCTCGTTTCAGGAAAAATTCTTCTCCAGAGCACCTGGCTTTGTCATTTCTGTCACTGGGAAAACTCTTAAGATTTCATGATACTTCTCTCTTTAGGAAGTTCAGAGGAAAAGCTGAGGCCACCTGCAGCAACGTGCAGCACATGATGGAACATATTTCTATATTAACTTTATTCTTGGCTTTATTTTATTTTTCTAGTCTAATAGTCCATTTTGCTCCTAGACTGGCTAGGTATAGTAATTCTATACCTCATCCAATTCTTTTTTTACTGCTTTATGTATGTTTGTAAGTTGCCACTAAATCAACTTTGAAAGGGTGTGGTACTGGATAAGTAGTTAAAATACAGGTCATGTTATAGCCTGATAAGAAGGAATGAAGAGCCCAGTTGCCAAAGGCATCACAGACACAGTGACTTGTGTGAGTTCCTGAAGAATGATGAGAAACTCATGATGCAGAGAAAAGGAAGAAGGGCATTTCAAGTAGAGAAACCACCCAAGCAAAGGTACAGAGCCAAACAGGAATGTGGTGTTTGAGGGCAGGGGACAAACTAAATCTATAAAGATGGGAACACATTAAGAGCCTTGAGTGTCATGCTTCACTCTAAGACAATGAGGAAGCATCTTTTTTTTTTTTTTTGTAGAGACAGGGTGGGTTTTACCATGTTGCCCAAGCTGGCGTCGAACTCCTGGGCTGAAGCGATCTGCTTCCCAAAGTGCTAGGATTACAGGTGTGAGCCACCACGCCAGGCCTAGGAGGTATCTTTTTGCCCTCACACGTGCACACACACACGTACACATGCATGCATGTGCACACACACATACACACAGACATGACCCAATTATGTTTAGATAAAACAATTCTAGAGTCCAAATGATGGCATGGAGAGTGTCACAACAGTTGCCAAGATATGAAGAGATGAGGACCTGAGCAAAGGATACACCGGTAGACACAGACAAAAGAGGGCAGATGGGGAGATGCTGGTGAAGGGAAACTGAGAGGTCAATGAGAGAGTGAGTCTGAATGGGAAGAAGGCCTGGACAGGAAGAGAAGGAGCAGCACAGGTGGAGGACAAAAAGGTTTCTCTTAGCCACTTAAACCTTTAGTTTCCTCATCTGGAAAACAGGTGTAATAATTGTACCTATGCTTCATTCCTGTGAGGATAGAATTACGAGTGGCTGGGACATAATAAGCACTCTACAAGTAGTCCAAAAGAAAAAGCAAGAAAGTTCCAACCCTGACAACAAACCAGGCACCAATGTTACCAATCTTTTGCATTTCCGTGGAGCTACTAACCTAGTTAAGATGCTAAGAAATATTCAGACATTCAAAGCTCTCCAGATTGCTCAACTATCTGCCTGTCAACTCAATCCATGCACAAGAGCCACCTCAAAAACAGCCAACTTAAGGTATAACTTAAGTCTCCTCTGCTGCAAAATCTCCACTGGCTCTCTACTGCCTGACAAAGTCTGTCTCACCTCCTCAGCCCAGCAGTGAGCTGCCCAGGGACTGCCCCAATTCTCTCGGGCGTTTCATGCTCCTCTTCCACATGTGCTGTGTCCCACCTACATGGAGACTGCTTCCTACTCCTAGACTGAGCTCAAGAACCCTGCACGGTACTCATCCCATTTCTCAGGTTAAATTATCTTCCCCCTTATCCCTTCGGGCCATCTCTTGAGTCCCACAGCTAGAAGCACTTACTCCTGCCTCTCAACTTCCATATCTCCCTATTCACACATCTCCTCTGGATATTCTGGTTATGTGTACACAGAATTTGTCCCATGTCTTATGAAAGGTGGAATCATTCAGTGCTCAGTTTGATTAATGAAACACAGCATGTGCTCAACAAAATTTGTTGAATGGATGAGTAAATGAATGAATGTCAACTTTCAATCAGTTCTTAAATTTGGGAGTTAGGGTTAGTGAACAATGACATATGCCAAGAGGTATACTTATCCAGAATTAATGAGGAAAGGGAGAGGGAATGAATATAAACTGAGTACCTACTAAGTACTCGTACTTGGCATCATATTGGGCACATAATGATGATGAACTACCTAATGTATCAAGTACTTTAGCATAACACAAAACAAAATACTATTAACAACAGCTACCATTTATGAAGTGCTTATTATGTGCTAGACACTGTACTAACTGCTACTGGCTACGACCACAACACTGGAAGTAGGTCCTATAAACCAGCTCCATTCTACAGCTAAGAATACAATGAATTAGGGAAGTTACAGCACTCAGGCAAGGTCACCCAGCCAGACCCACTGTAGTAAACCATACTTCCTCTCATTAAATCTCATTTACTAACATGTTTTCGTAAAAAGTAACAGCCTGGGGTCCAGGTTGGGAGAATAAGGGGGTATGAATTTCAAAAGGACACAAGGAAACTTTTGGGGATAATATATATGTTCATTGTCTTGATTGTGGTGATCTTTTCGTGGGTATATACATATGTCAAAACTCATTAAATTATGCATTTTAAATATGTGAAGCCTATATCATGTTAATAAAACTATTTTTAAAAGTTTAAGGCTGGTGCTGTGGTACATGCCTGTAATCCCAACACTTCAGGAGGCCTAGGCTAGAAGACTGCTTGAGGCCAGTAGTTTGAGACCAGCAGGGCAACATAGTGAGATCCTGTCTCTATTTAAAAATAATAATAAATAATAATTAAAAAATAATAATAGACCAGGCACAGTGGCTCACGCCTGTAATCCCAGCACTTTGGGAGGCCAAGGTGGGTGGATCACCTGAGGTCAGGAGTTTGAGACCAGCCTGACCAACATGGAGAAACCCTGTCTCTACTAAAAATACAAAATTAGCCAAGTGTGGTAGTGCATGCCTGTAATCCCAGCTACTCGGGAGGCTGAGGCAGGAGAACCGCTTGAACCCAGGAGGCGAAGGTTGCAGTGAGCCAAGATTGCACCACTGCACTCCAGCCTGGGCAACAAGAGCAAAACTCCGTCTTAGAAAAAAAAAAGGAAGAAAGAAAGAAAAAGCATATAGAAAAAGGGGTGGGGAGAGGATGGACTCTTGTTTACTTGAGGAAACTAATCACTCACGTGGCATTTTCATGGCTAGATCAAGACTTTCTTGGCTGGTCTTCCTTTTTGAAAGCTGCAAAATGGAAAATCCCAAGACTCATAATTAACCAGTACGCTAGTTAATGTTTTACTTTTCTCGGGAAAAGGGAAAAATCCTAACGTTCATTCAATAGCTACTCTTTGCAAGGTGCTTTAGGTATACTGTGTCATCTAAATTTGTGAAGCAAATATTACTGCCATTTTACAGATGACCAGACCAAGGCAGACTGGGGTCACTAAGAAATTTGCCAAAGTCATGCAAGAGGTAAGTACCCAATCAGGAGTGAAATCTAGGTCTTCCTAACTCAAAAGACCTCTCTTTCACTAAGCCATGCTCCTTCGATGGCATAAATATTAACTTACATTAAAATTAAACAATGAAACTCATATCTTCTTAACATACTTACAATTTTAAGAGTATGTGTTTGTGTGTATTAATGAGACAAAAAAGAAAGATGTGACTCAAATCCATTTAAACCATGTTTTTAAAATATCACTTTTAAAGAAGACACAGTAATACTTTTCTTCCAACTGAAGGTACATTTTCACCATCTTAGAAAACTTTACTACCTATACTGTAATCTGCAACTCAGATTTTTTAAATTAAAAAATAACATTTTTCTTTTTCACATTTGTTATATGTGAACACTGAATAAAGATACATGTGTTACCAAAATAACTCCAATTCAATTAATTATTGATGCCAATGTTTGATATTTTTGCCATGTGTATTAAGAGTATAAGATCTATCAAAATGGCTTAGTATTTTTAAACTCCTTGATTATAAGAGAAAATGCTCTTAATATGTGGAAAATGCAGAAAAATATAAATAGTTGCCATCATTATATCAACATGCAGATATTATAACCACTGTTAACATTATGATCTGTACTTGTAGTTCTATTTTATGAATGGTTGCAATCAGAGTATTCATATTTTCTAGTTTTATAAAAAAATTGTATATGGTGACATTTTCAGTCATCCCTACGACTCTACGAGACACAAGGTTTAAAAATGAAACAAATAGGGCCAGGCACAGTGGCTCATGCCTGTAATCCCAGCACTTTGGGAAGCCGGGGCGGGTGGATCACCTGAGGTCAGCAGTTCAAGACCAGCCTGGCCAAACATGGTGAAACCCCATCTCTACTAAAAATACAAAAAAAATTAGCCAGGCGTGGTGGCAGGCGCCCATGGTCCCAGCTACTCACAAGGCTGAGGCAGAAGAATCACTTGAACCCGGGAGGCAGAGGTTGCAGTGAGCCAAGATGGCGCCAGTGCACTCCAGCCTGGGCAAAAAGAGTGAGACTCTGTCTCAAAAATAATAATAATAATAATAATAATAATAATAAATAAAAATGAAACAAATTCTTGAGGAAATTTTTCAGAATGCAAATTTTTTTCAAATTGCTGAAATTTATTAAAATTGAAAGACATTGTTTAATTAATCTTCTCTGCCATGAAACTCCATCAGGCTGTGTACAAAAACCACTGGGAGGCTGAGGGTCACTAGAGCCCGGGAGTTTGAGGCTGTAGTGAGCCTCAAAGGGCTACTACACTCCAGCTTGGGTGACAGAGTGAGACCCTATCAAGGTTTGCATGCTTGCTTGCTATCTGTGGTCATTAAAAACCCTAGACCTCTTTAGGAAATCAGGTCTGCCTGCACTTCTCCAAGCATGAATTTTGAGTTCTTTGCTTCTTTAAAACTTGCTCCATGTGCACTGTTGTCAAGCCGATTCTCTATACCTTTAAAAGGTCTCCAAAAATCTGCACTCAATCAACAGATAAAAACGTTACCAGTAATAAAACCATAAAGCTAGTCTAGACAAGTAAGATTCTATCATTTCAACTTCCAGGCTTCTGTTTAATGCCTATGTGCCAATGGCTAAAGTTAGGCTTGCTCTTTAGGACCTCAGCAGTTATCCTCATACCTCCTTTGGGACACAACTGTTCATAAGGCACCATCAAAAGCCACACTGCATCTGCACCTAGCATCATTCCTCCCAGGGGCCACCTCCTCAGAATGCAATTTTTTTTGTTTTGTTTTGTTTTTTGAGACAGGGTCTTGCTCTGTCACCCAGGCTGGAGTGTAGTGGCACGATCTTGGCTCACTGCAACCTTTGCCTCCCAGGCTCAGGTGATTCTCCTGCCTCAGCCTCCCAAGTAGCTGGGATTATAGGCACACTCTATTGCACCTGGCTAATTTTTTGTATTTTTTTTTTTTTTTTTTTTTTTTTGGTAGAGATGGCATTTTGCTATGTTGCCCCGGCTGGTCTCGAACTCCTCAGCTCAAGCAATCCACCTGCCTCAGCCTCCCAAAGTGTGGGTATTATAGGCATGAGCTACTGCACCTAGCCATGTAATATTTTTAAAAAGATAAAACATAGAAGAAATTTTCTTAAATTACAGAGAATTGATCCAGGAGGTCCAAAATAGAACTACTATAACTAATAGTCATTTTAGAATAAAAACATATAGGGAAGGACATTTTCAAAGATACAGATGAAATTTCCTAGAACTGAAGGAAATGGATTTTCAGACTGAAAGGGCCCACCACACACAGAGCACAATGAATAAATAAAGAACTACACATCGTGGCAATTTTCAGAACACTGGTGCCAAAGAGAGGATTCTCAAAGTCTCTAGAGAGAAAACAAAGGGCCTGTTCAAAGGATCAAGAGTAAGGACGGCACTGAACTTCCCCACAGCCACACTAGAAATAAAGTTATGGAGGCAATACTCTCAAATTCTGAGAGAAAACTGTTTCTAAACAAAAATTCTATACCCAAATTATCAATTATGAATGAGAATAAAGACATTTCAGACAAGCAAGAATTCAAAAAACTTACTTTCCATGTACCCTTTCTCAGGAAGTTCACTGAAAATATGCTCCACCAAAATGAGAAAATGACACAGAAAGAGGAACAAGTGGGATGCAGAAAACAAGGGTGACCATAGAAGACACAAGGGAGCCCAGGAGGCTGGTGAAGGGTGCCCTAGAATGTAAGTCGGCAGAGACCCTGGGAAGGCATCAGCTCAGACTACAGCCCACTGCTGAACGACCACCTGAGAGTCTTTCCCTCAGGAAAATGGCATTGAGAGGCCATAGGAGGCAGGGAAATAATTGTCATAAATACACAGAAAGTCAAGCAGATGAAAGAGATGTTGTTAACACAGCAGAGGGAGAGGTATATAAGGAAAGGAGACACAGTCATAGTACTTACTTCATTCACCAATGAAAAATATTGATATACTCAATGTAAACCATGAAATCAACTTAACCCAAAACTGTGATCTGTCTATTCTAACAGAATAGAAGAAGGCCAAGTAGAATCATCTTAAGTAAAACTAGTACATTTAAAGGCTAGGAACCTAAAGTCAACTTTTCAAGGTCTGGAAAGGTCATCTGAAGCTCCCTTTCACAGCTTTGGTAGCCTTATCCAAGGGTTAAAAGCCAAGCACTCCAGGCCATGCCTTCACCCTCATGATCCATATTCTACACACGTACCAGGCTACTACCTTCCAGAGCAGGTAATACACTGTCTCACCTTCATGACCTTGTTCATGCCATCATCTACCTGGAAAATCACTGTCAAAATACTTTTTAGTTGACTAGGCCCAGCTGAAATATTCACCTCCTCTGTGAAGCCATCTCCAGCTCTTCCTGTCAGCATCACGTTCTTTCCTGTACCTCTAAAGCACTCTGTTCCTACCTCTAGTTGCCACCAGATCAGGGTTGGTTATTCCTATATGTACTCTGCTACTGAACGATGAACTTTAGGGCCTAGGTTACACCTATCCACTTTATCTCCTCAGACCTAATTCTATGCCTTATGATATACAAGGGCTCAAATAACTAGAGTGTCATATATGAAGAGCAAATATAAAGCACTCAAAAAAGCCAAGCGCTACCTCTTTAGAACTTGGAACACTGCTGTGATCTTTCTCCATTATCAGCCATCTGAGAACATTTGGAATAGAGGGGTTTTTCCATGTTGGCCACGGATTCACAAATCTCCCATCTTTTCCTTTCTTGGATTTAGTTACATCTTCTTCTAGTCTATAATCCAGTTTGAAGCTTTTCCTAGAAAACCTAGAAGAATCACTTGCTCCGGAATTCCGTGCTGAATTTTGACGTTTTCTTACTGCTTCTTTAGGATATTGGCTGCTTGTCATCAGAGACTGGTTGCTTTCATTTTCATCCATGTCCTTTGGTGAAGAACTAAAAAAAACAAGGGGGAAAAATACTGAGTTGAACATAAAGGCATTCAAACATAACACAAGGTACTATTTGTTAGCCAATAAAAATTTCTCTAAACTTATAAAAATATTATGTCTGTATTAGCTGAAACTTTCTTCCTGCAAGGCACAATTTTAGAATACAGTATTACTTCTTGCTAAATAAGAAAGATGTGCCAGGCGCAGTGGCTCACACCTATAATCCCAGCACTTTGGAAGGCCGAGGCAGACAGATCACCTCAGGTCGGGAGTTCGAGACCAGCCTGACCAACATGGAGAAAGCCCATCTCTGCTAAAAATACAAAATTAGCCAGGCATGGTGGCACATGCCTGTAATGCCAGCTACTCAGGAGGCTGAGGCAGGAGAATCGCTTGAACCCTGGAGGTGGAGGTTGTGGTGAGCTGAGATCACGCCATTGCACAAACAAACAAACAAACAAAACAAACATGAAAGAAAGAAGGATGTTTGCTTTACCTATTAACATAACTGCCAAGCCCTTAAAAAATCCTTTATCTCCTGTAATCCAAAACAACATATTTCCCCAGCCAGCATGTAAGCATATTAAATTTTCCATTTCAATGACATTCTGTGGAATAAATTAAGGCACCTTCATAAATCTATAGTATTTTCATACATGTATTTAGAAAACATTATTGTTAACAATGCATAGTAAGGACTGCTTCAGTTCCTTGAGGGAATTTAGTAATTCAAGCAAGTCGAATATATACACCACTAGGCTTAGTCATATTTACACTGAAGATATTCTGTAACCAATGCCCCCAGAAAGAACAGCCAGTCCAAATCCCTGGAAAGGAGATAACACATTAACTGAGAGACATTTCAATAATGTATTTAACTGATCAATAAAATACATTTAAATATATGAGAACTGCCAAGTCAGTGAGTATGTATCCTAGCTATACGACCTTGAGCCAGTTTCCCACCCTCTCTGTACCCTGATTTCCTCACCTATAAAATGGAGAGAACGTTACTTCCCTCCTAGGTTTATTAAGAAGACCTGTAATACAAGTAAGGCACTTGGAAACATAGTAACACACACATAAACCCAACATCACAGCTCAATCAATGTCAGCTGTTGCTGCTGACCTTGTTATTCCTGCTACTACTGCTACTGCTTAACTCAAGGCATTAAAATCCCTGATTTTGACCTATATAGGACTCCAGATACACAAAAGTGATAAGTAACGTATCTGCCATGAATTTCATTTCTTTCTTATTCTGTTAAACATTTGCTTTCTGTTTCATTAGTTTAAATACAGTGCACACACACAGCACATTTTATAAGTGGAAATAAGGAAATGAGCACAGTAACAGAAAGCCAAATATTATTTTTATGGCTACAATGGTGTTTAAATAGAAATACTGCCCCAGAAAGAAAGGGAAAAACACAAACCCTAGGATGAATACGTACACAGAACCAAAACTTTTTTTCCAAACTGTCTAGAGTAAGCAGTCTGTAATCTAGAGAAGAATCACTGTGAAGAAAAGAAACCCCAGCTGACTAAAGCTAAAGCACACGCTGTTGCTCAGCCATCGCTGTATGTGGGAGAGCTCAAGAGTTAAGAGAGAGTCTAACAAGATTTATACTTTGGGCAAATAGCCTACCCTTTCTCATCCTCCATTTTCTCCTGGTAAACTATCTACCTACCTGTGGAGGTTTCTCTCAAAGGATCAAATGGCACAGGTACATAATGTACTTGGCACTCACAAATGCTCATTCTTCTTTTCCCTAATCTTGTTAACTGGCCATACATCTAAATTGTTTATTTTTTTTTATTTTTGAGACAGGGTCTCACTCTGTCACCCAGGCTGGAATACAGTGGCTCAATCACGGCTCATTGCAGCCTCAACCTCCCGGGGCTCAGGGTATTCTCCCACCTCAGCCTCCCAAGTAGCTGGGACCACAGGTGTGTGCCACCATGCCTGGCTAGTTTTTTTATTTTTTAGTAGAGATGGGGTTTCACCGTGTTACCCAGGCTGACCTGGAACTCCTGGGCTCAAGCAATCTGCTTGCCTCCTCGGACTCACAAAGTGCTAGGATTATAGCTAAATTCTTTAAGTTATTCTAGAACTTAAAGTGGTCTCGGAGAGTAAGCTCTCATAGAATCACTTTTTCTGGGTTATAATTAAGTTCAGGCCAAGGACTTTACAAAGAGCAGAAACAATGACCATCCATCTGAACCTCACTTCGTTTAACAGATGAAAATGTACAAGTTTAGAGAGTTTAAGTTACTTCTCAAAAAGACAATATGTCCAACAGATGGCAGAAGTGACCTCATGCTACTCCTTGTCATGATAAAACAGCTTATGAGATATCTGTATTTGTCATATACATATACATATGTATGTATATATATACACATATATATCATAATTCTACCAAATACATTAATAAATGTTTGGCTCATTGTTTTAAACAATGAAGGGATAAGGGAGAAAGGAAAAAAGGACACTTTGATTCAAAGACCACAAAGACAACATCAAAATAGGGTTTTGAACAACATCTAGTGGTCTAATGTAGCTAGGACATAAAAAGCAAGGAAGGGCCAGGCGCAGTGGCTCAACGCCTATAATTCCAGCACTTCAGGAGGCCAAGGCAGATGACTCACCTGAGACAAGGAGTTCAAGATTGGCCTGGCCAAGATGGTGAAACCCTGTCTCTACTAAAAATACAAAAAGTAGCCGGGCGTGGTGGACCTGTGCCTGCAATCCCAGCTACTCAGGAGGCTGAGGCAGGAGAATCACTTGGACCCTAGAGGCAGAGGTTGCAGTGAGCCGAGATCGCGCTGTTGCACTCCAGCCTGGGTGACAGTGAGACTCTGTCTCAAGGGGAAAAAAAAAAAAAGCAAGGAAGGTTTGTGAAAGTCGAGACTATAGAGGGTTAAAAGACTGGACAGTAAAGATGGGACTAGATTGTGAGCCTGGACTCCCTCTAAGGAGGTTAGGCTACACTGCAAGCAATGGGGAAACACTGAACACACTTAAAAGGCTGTGTACTTAAGGGCTGGACACAGTGGCTCATGCATGTAATCACAGCCATTTGGGAGGCCGAGGCGAGTGGATCACGAGGTCAGGAGTTCGAGACTAGCCTGGCCAACACAGTGAAGGCTCGTCTCTACTAAAAATTCAAAAATTAGTCGGGCGTGGTGGCGCGTGCCTGCAGTCACAGCAACTTGGGAGCCTGAGGCAGGAGAATTGCTTGAACCCAGGAGGCGGAGGTTGCGGAGACTCCGTCTAAAAAGAAAATGATGTACTTAGGGAAGACAACTCTGATAGCAGGATTAAAAAGAAAGGAAGTGGCTAAAAACTGGAGCTTGGGAGATGGATTGAATGAAAACAGAAGAAGCCTAGAACACCCAATAACACTGAACCACCATGCCACATATTTCACCTATTTCATTTAAACTCATGCTCCTAGCAAACCCTCAAGGTAGGTATTATAATCCCCACTTTTTAATAGTGAATAGCAACCCAGTCAAAAGATGAGGAGGCAGTGCAATGAGAAGAGAAAAAGCAGAATAAATCCAAGAGACAACAAAGAAGATGAATCAGTAAGACTTGAGAGTATTTGGATAGTCACAAATTTTGGACTTTGTAGGGCTGGTTGGTCAGGAGGAGAGTGGGAAGAGTCAGAAATGGCAGCACCACTAATCAAGGTGGATTGTGACCCAGTGAGTTTGAGAAGGGTTTGAGGTCATGGGAAAGCAAGAACCCAAGAGAAAGTCCTCATTGACACCCAAAGGAAATGGATTCAGGCTGCTTTAGGGGTAAAAATAAATAAATAAATAAAATAAAAAATAAAAATAAAAATAAATAAATTAGCCCACTGTGGTGTTGCAGGCCTGTAGTCCCAGCTACTGGGAGGATCCCTTGAGCCCAGGAAGTTGAGGCTGCAGTGAGCTGTTATCATGCCACTGCACTCCAGCCTGGGCGACAGAGCGAGACTCCGTCTCAAAGAAAGAAAGAAAGAAAAGAAACAAAAAGAAGAGAAAAGAAAAAATTGGTGCAGTGATCTTTCTTCTCTCTAAATAATAAGCTTTTTCAAAGTTGTCTATTCACACAATCTCCATTTCCTCACCTCCCATCCACTCAGTCTTTCACCCCAATCAATCTGTGGAAACAGGTCTCATTACCAAATAGCCATCCTCTCCTAACAAACCCCCTCCCCTAACACACACAAAGTCCAGTTTTCAGAAATGCTCTTTAAAAAACAAAAAACAAAAAAATCTGATACAAACAAAACGAAAAAACCTCCAAAGGGTTTTTTGAGGGCAAAGGTCAGCATGATGGTTCACAGGGTCTGTGTTTCTAACCTTACCCACACTCTCCACACTCTCCTCTGCTCCATAAACACGGCCTGAAACTATTTCCTCAGATGTATCATGTACCCACTTCAGGGCGACCAACTGCCACGTTGTCATATCCTTGGGGTATGGGGAAATGTATAGTCACAGGATTATGGACTGCCATCCATGACAGATGTTAAAGCAACACAAAATGATCAAACTATGAAACACCATTTCACACGATGCACTGTTGAAAGGGCAAGAAGGAGCAGAAGCACGTAAAACCTGAGCCTTGAAACTCTGGACTGGTTTTTCTGGAGGAAAAATACTGGGAGCCCATTTGCTGAATGTGCAAAATGACACGCTCTGCCAACAGGTGCTCCAGTGACAAAGGAGCCTCAGCCCGAGAGTGGGTCACACAAGAACGCTCCTCATGCCCAGTGTCTTCTGGGCACTCAGAAGACCACAGATAAAATGACAGAAAAAGTAGGAATGAGGAAGAGTGGGTTGTCTGTATGGTCCTGTGTTAACTAGCTTTGAGCTCTTCAAGCTTGACAAACCCCTTAACATATCTAGCTAGAGTTTCTGTAATTAAATGTGGCAAATTTCAAACTATTTCTTGTTATGTAACTGTTTCCAAAATTAACAATGTAAATGAAAATAATCCACCCTTGATTTCAGGCCAACACCAACTGAAAGTAGATGTGTACATGAATACACAAAAACTGTAAACAACCTGTGTTTCAAAAAGTGCTTTAAAACTTGATAAAGATCTTTCCATTGTACTGATTTTGATTCAATTTAAGATCCATGAATTCTGAAAGAGCAATCTAAACAAATAAGTAATAAATAAATAAAAATACCATGAATTGTAAGGCACCCTGATGTGTCATGTGCCACTAAGGAAGTAAAAATGTTATCAATTATAGTTAGGTCACACGTTATACATGACATATAGTGATATCAGTGGTGTTAAAATGTGAATAAAATGTCTATCTCAAAATGGATGAAATATAGCATTTTGTGTTGGAAAATAAATACGTTGGGACAGGAGTGAAAACATTGCTCTTGATAATTAAATATAATCAGAAGCATAATTAATTGCTCATCCTCTTTCCCTCTGTGAACAACAGTTAGTTATAAACATACCAAATGCTAAATTTGTTCTAGAAAACTAGAATCCAGAAGAAAATTTAAAGGTAACAAACCCCTGTGACAATTGTATTTTAAATATAAAATACAAATGTTCTAGCCAGGCACAGTGGCTCATGCCTGTAATCCCAGCACTTTGGCAGGCCGAGGCAGGTGGATCACCTCAGGTCGGGAGTTCGAGACCAGCCTGGCCAACGTGGTGAAACCCCATCTCTACTAAAAATACAAAAATTAGCTAGGCATGGTGGTGTATGCCTGTAGTCCCAGCTACTCAGGAGGCTAAGGCAGGAAAATCACTTGACCCCTGGAGGCAGAGGTTGCAGTGAGCCGAGATTCCAGCCTGAGCGACAGAGTGAGACTCCATCTCAAAATAAATAAATAAATAAAAATAAAAAATAAAACAAATGTTCTTTTTTAAAGAACAATGTATTACAAAAAGGACAACATAAAGTCCATCTAGTAATTATCAAGGACATTCTCTACATTTTTTGAAGATTAATTGCCTATTTAAGAGCAGAAGGACTTATCCCTGTGTCTCCAACCAAAGAGAGGTCTGGGCTGTGACATTTGGTGAAGACAAGTCAGCCAAGTACAAATATTTTCTCTCAATAACTGCACATATGGGTAAAATGCTTTCAAAAAATAAGAATTCTCTATTTCAAAAGCAAATGTTTCATGCTTTCTTTTTTCAACATTTAAGATTTGCCAACTGCCTAGAATTCAATGCACTGCTTTATCATGTAAACAGCTAAAGAAAAAAATCACAGTAGTAAAACATACATTTGGGATTTCAACACACTCATAAATTATGAAGCGGCAAATCATTCCCAGAGTAGACATTTAATAAATACTAATTGAGTTCTTGTCCATTACGTAACAACAAAGATGCTGATGTTAAATCTGGAAAGTATTCAGAAGTGTATTTTCAGATATCTCTGACTAAATAACATTAAACTTACTATTCTGTATTTGCTCTCCTTATCCTTATTGAAGAGAAAGGGCCCTTTTGATACAATGCTAGATAACATGGCTAATGAAACTACGTCAATTCACTGAAATGTCTGCAAAGGGCTTCAGTGGGGGTAAAATTAAACTGTTCCCATCCTTCACATTCAATAAGATTCCAGGCAATACTGGTATTACTCCCAGAGGCATTTAGGGAACCAGTGGGAGGGCAGATACATCCAAGCACAGGAAGTACACTGGATAATAAGAGGGAGAATGTTCTGTGGGAGGTATGTATACAACATTCATCAACCAAAAAAGTATTGCACTGTTATCACTGAACTTCATTCTTACCACACTTTATTGACTTAGCAAAACAACCAGTTTTGCTAAGAAGCTAAAAGAAAACAAAGCAAACAGAAGCTTAATATACAGGATCTGAGAGTATGACAACATTTAATAATAATTATTGCATCAAAAATAGAACATACACGCATAATATACATTTAGATATA
This sequence comes from Homo sapiens, assembly GCF_000001405.40. NCBI lineage: Eukaryota > Metazoa > Chordata > Mammalia > Primates > Hominidae > Homo > Homo sapiens. Next base: position 108,999 of record NT_187559.1, on the reverse strand, counting down.
TGTACATATAAATCTATATATATATATATCACCAAACAATTTATCTTCACTAGAGTGGAAAGAACACTAGTTAGGAGTCAGAAAAACTGGACTCCAGTTCTACTATTAACTAGAGATGTTAGCTTGCAGGGAGTAACTCAGCCTCTCTAAACTTGGGCTTATTCATCTGTTCAATAAAGATTGTAACTCCTAAACGTTGTTTTAAATGTCTGTTAGTCATTTAAGGAGACCATGAGTTAGTAGTTTAAAGTGCTATACATATGGAAATTGCTGGCTAGTTGTGGTGCCTCATGCCTGTAATCCCAATACTTTGGGAGGCCAAGGACAGGAATTCGAGACCAGCCTGGCCAACATGGCAAAACCCTATTAAAAAAAAAACAAAAAACTTAGCCAAGAGTGGTGGTGCGTGCCTGTAATCCCAGCTACTCGGGAGGTTGAGGCAGGAGAATCACTTAAACCCAGGCGGTGGACGTTGCAGTGGGCTGAGATCATGCCACTGCACTCCAGCCTGGGTGACAGAGTGAGACCCCACCTCAAAAAAAAAATGCAAATTGTTGAGGCTGGGAGCAGTGGCTCACACCTGTAATCCTAGCACTTTGGAAGGACGAGGTGGGCAGACTGCCTGAGCTCAGGAGTTCGAGAACAGCCTGGCTAACATGGCAAAACCCTGTCTCTACTAAAAAAAAAAAAAAATACAAAAAGAAATTATCTGTGTATGGCAGCCCGAACCTGTAGTCCCAGCTACTTGGGAGGCTGAGGCAGGAGAATCACTTGAACCTGGAGGCAGAGGTTGCAGTGAGCCAAGATTGCACCACTGCCCTCCAGCCTGGGCGACAGAGCAAGACTCTGTCTCACAAAAAAAAAAAAAAAAATGCAAATTGAAGAGTAAAGAATATATGATAAATAGGACCTTTTGATCCAACTGAGTTGTTTTTCAGGTGAAAGATAAAACATTCTAGAATTTCATATGGCTTTAAAAGCCTAAGTTACCGAATTTTTTTCATTTTTCTTTCCTTAATTTCACGTAACAAGACTATAAAAGTAAGTAAGTTTTGTTACCTTTTAAAAAAATGTATTTTCTTTTGTTAAAACTTCAAATTTGTCGCAAAGCATTCATCCAATTATAGACAAAAAATTATTTTGACAAATAATTCACAAAGAAATGCCAACCAACCAAAAGCATTTAAGAGTCCAAATAAATTGTTTGTTTGTTTGTTTGTTTTGAGATGGAGTTTTGCTCTCATTGCCCAGGCTAGAGTGCAGTGGTGCAATCTCGGCTCACTGCAACCTCCACCTCCCAGATTCAAGTGATTCTCCTGCCTCAGCCTCCCAAATAGCTGGGATTACAGGTGCCCGCCACCATGCCCAACTAATTTTTGTATTTTTAGTAGAGACAGGTTTCACCATGTTGGCCAGGCTGGTCTCAAACTCCTGACCTCGTGATCTGCCCGCATTGGCCTCCCAAAGTGCTGGGGATCACAGGCATGAGCCACTGCTTCCGGCCCCAAATAAATAGTTCTGAGAGGAAAGAATGCAAAACGCAATTTGTATCTTTGGGATACAGTATATTAACAGACTTTAAGTCACCAAAATACATAAACACTCTAGAAACTTCCTCTATAATAAGAGGTTTTCCCCATATGTAAGAAAGCAAAGCTTTCATTAGAATCAAAAAGAATGAAACAAGAGAAACAGCTGGCTTAAGAACAAAGCCTATTTATGAATACCTTTTATGACTGGAATCCTTAGGGTGATCAAATTAAAATATCATGTTACGGTAAATTTGGAAAACATGCATAAAATATTTATTGAAATAACATAGTTATCATCTCTTTAATACCTTAAAAAATAATAGCAAGCACAAAGTGCAGGTTCATTTCCGGTATAATCAATTATACCTAAATGATATACATAAGTATTTAATTGAAAAGGTCAGGCCAGGTGTGGTGGTGCGCATCTGTAGTCCCAGCTACTCAGGAGGCTGAGGTGGGAGGACTGCTTGAACCCAGGAGGTAAAGGCTGCAGTGAACTGTAATTGAGCCACTGCACTCCAGCCTGGGTGACAGAGCAAGATGCTGTCTCAAAAAAAAAAAAAAGAAAAGAAAAAGAAAAAGAAAGAAAGAAGAAAAGAAAGGAAAACCAAAAAAAGGTTGGGGGAGGACAAGGTAGGAGGAACAGTAAGTTGATGCCTGTGGAACTTGAAATGCGTCCTAAATATGTCAGATGATCTTTCTTTTTTGCTTTTTTTCTTTTTTTTTTTTGAGACGGAGTCGCGTTCTGTTACCCAGGCTGGAGTGCAATGGTGCAATCTCGGCTCACTGCAACCTCTATCTCCCAGGTTCAACCGATTCTCGTGCCTCAGCCTCCCGAGTGGCTGGGATTACAGGCATGCGCCACCAAGCCTGGTTAATTTTTGTGTTTTTAGTAGAGATGGGGTTTCACCATGTTGGCCAGGCAGGTAGATGATCTTAAATGTTCATTTACTGTCCCTGAGCCAAGATTTTAACCAAAAAAAAGCTTCCAAAATGGGACTACTTTCTCTCTACTATCTCCATCTCATAATTACGTATACAAAAAGAAAACCTTCCAATTTAATGCATAACCTGTAAAGAAACGGAAAGGAGAAACATGTCTTCATAGCTCCTGGATAGGACAGAGAAAGAGGGAAAAAAGCACACTTTTCACTTCTTTCTGACTTCAGTCCAGTTCCAACTTTGACTCTACTGAATTCTACAGCCCTTTTTTTTTTTTTGAGTCAGAGTTTTGCTTTTGTTGCCCAGGCTGGAGTCCAGTGGTGCGATCTCAGCTCACTGCAACCTCCACCTCCCAGGTTCAAACGATTCTCCTGCCTCAGCCTCCTGAGTAGCTGGGATCGCAGGCACGCACCACCACACCCAGCTAATTTTTTGTATTTTTAGTAGAGACAGGGTTTCATCATGTTGGCCAGGCTGGTCTTGAACTCCCGACCTCAGGTGATCCACCCGCCTCGGCCTCCCAAAGTGCTGGGATTACAGGCGTGAGCCACCACACCCAGCCTTCTGTAGCCTTTAAAAAGTCACTTAACATCATTGAGACTCACTTTCATTCATCTGTAAAATAGAGGACTGGGATGTATCTCTAAAGTCTCTCCACCTCTAAAATTCTAACAATCTTCGGCTGCACCAAAGAGCCAGCTCAGGCCACTAAAGAGCTGTCCCCTCTAACTCAGCCTTGGCCAACCCCTCCTATTTCCACTCCCTCAAATAAAATTCCCAGCTCAGGTCCAGCTGCCTTCCCCAGGCTGGACTGGCAAGGGATAAGCGAAGTATTTCACCTGAGAACAGCATAGTTATCTACTGGAAGAAAGTGCAATTTCACAGGTTTATCAGGTAGGCTAGGAGGTTATTAAGAGCCAGGACATATAAATCTGATACAAATAGCCATTAGATTTTCAAACTTAAAAAGATTCCAGATATTACTTGTAAGGGCTTCTACTTAAAGCATTTTAAAAGTTGCATTTAACAAACATTGTTAGAATGTCTACTTTATCTAAGTCCTAGCTCTCCAGTTGCTGTGGAGAATATGAACCCCTGACCTCCAGGGATTCAAAATCCATTAGGGAAAAAAATCATAAGAAACCATATAGATTTTGGCTCAGTATCACATTTACAGAAGTGTCAGCTCTGATTAATGAAAATGGTATAGACTTTAGAATAAGGCATTTCCAAAACATACTGGCCAAATTCTCAAGATGGTGAGGAATACTTTTCCTTAAGTGCTGAGCGGTCCACAGTGACAGCAAGAGTCCTGTGATCCAGCAGGTCAGAGACACTGAAAAGCTCAGAACTTTCTGAATTCAGCCAACAAGTTAAAGGGCGCTGATGGCAACAGAGAGGGTGATGGAAAGAAACAAAGTCACTAGAGAGGTTACTTGAACCCTGATTCACTCACAAATGAATTTGGCAAAGGGGCAGACATGTTATTCTGCCCGCAGTGTCATGCGTGGTCCATCCTCTGGGAGAAAAATGACAAAAAAATAAACGAACAGTGAGACTTTTACAGGGAAACAAGGCCCAGGACATGACTACATCAGACCCTGTTCAGCCATCTCCTGAGTCTTCTGTACACTGTAAATAACAGGGTCAGAGTGAGGCTAGAGATATCCCCAAAAGGTTAATAGAATCTTGAGGTTCTAAGGGACTTTAAGATCCCTGAGTTCAATTCAGTAGCCTCTGTTTAAGAATAGCAGAAAGTTTGTAGCAAATTATAAAAGCATATTAAAAATGAATATAACTAAAATATGCTTGAATGGGTTATCAGGAAAAACCACATTACCAGAAGATGGGGCAAAAGAATTGAAAACATCTTAAAATAAATGCTTCCCAACTTTGCCCCTCATCATCCTAAACCTCAGTTTCATAATTCCTAGCCCAGTCTCTGGCACACAGTACATAGTAAGCACTGAATAACTAAGCCACTGTTTCATTATGCTATAAACAGTAACAGTTTTAATGAGATAGTAGGATATACATGTATACCATTTTTGCATTTCTACACTAATGTGATAAGGAAGCTGAGGGAAATGGTATGAATAAACTGAAGCAGAATAAACTCTGGAATGTGTTTTTGTTCTATTTGAGTAAGAGAAGGCCTGATCTTGGAATTCACAGAACTCTTTTTTTTTTTTTTTTTTTTTTTTGAAACAGAGTCTTGCTCAGTCGCCCAGGCTGGAGTGCAGTGGCGTGATCTCGGCTCACTGCAAGCTCCGCCTCCCGGGTTCACGTCATTCTCCTGCCTCAGCCTCCCAAGTGGCTGGGACTACAGGAGCCCGCCACCACGCCCGGCTAATTTTTTTGTATTTTTAGTAGAGACGGGGTTTCACCATGTTAGCCAGGACGGTCTCAATCTCCTGACCTCGTGATCTGCCCGCCTTGGCCTCCCAAAGTGCAGAACTCTTAATTCAAAACAGGATTCCTACCCGACCTCATAGTTCCTTGTGGCCTCACTAACCCTCCTGGAGTCACCAGAAGGCTCTCATTAGCTCAGAAGACTCATTGATAGTCTCCTGATTCTGAAAATAATAATCTACCTGACTTCCCTTTATCTCCCTTCACTGGCCCAAGGAGCAGAAGCTGAAAACTCATGATACTAATGGTGGCCACATGCAGACTCAGCACTTTTCCCAGAGCTTGAAGCTCCAGTTAAACAGATTCTTTTGCTCAAAGGAAAAATTTCCCACAATGGGAGCTGGCAAAATAGGCAAGCAAGGCCAGCTCTACATAAATCACGAGTAAATAAGTTTCCCCTAAAGCATTTCAGTATTCTTGCCTCTCTTACCCAAGTGACTCTACTATCATATTGTTCCCCCCATCTGCTTTTTCCATGGCCAAAACAGGTTTTCAAGAAAGATCTGATTTCCAGTGTGTGACAGATAAGGAACAAAGTGCAAATCCTCCCTAGATCATTTCCAGTCCACATGGGTACAAGCCCTGAAACCTCAAATGTACATCAGAATTACCTGTGGAGTTTTTTTTTTTTTTTTTTTTTTGCAAGCAGATAAAGGCTTATTTTACTTTAATGGCTGATCTATGTAATCACGGAGGCCAGTATGTACACACAAAGGGGCAGCTTTTATTTCTTGGTCTCTTCCTCCTTGGACAAAGTCTTGATGATCTCCTCCTTCTTGGCCTGGAGGTGCTCTTCATAGCTCTTGTGTGCTTCCTTGGTCTTAGATCTGCGGGCCTCAGCCTGATCAGCCAGGAGCTTCTTGCGGGCCTTGTCTGCCTTCAGCTTGTGGATGTGTTCCATGAGAATCTGCTTGTTTTTTAACACATTCCTCTTCACCTTCAGGTACAGGCTGTGATACATGCGGCGATCAATCTTCTTAGATTCACGGTATCTTCTGAGCAGCCGGTGCAGAATCCTCATTCTCCTCATCCACGTGACCTTCTCTGGCATTCGGGCATTGGCTGTACCCTTCCGCTTACCTATGCCCATATGCCTGCCCTTCCGGCAGGCCAAGGTGTTTTTCCGGCATCAAGCGGGGGAATGGACCATCACAGGCTTGCGGATGATCAGCCCATCTTTGATCAGCTTCCGGATCTGCTGACGGGAGTTGGCATTGGTGATTTCATTGGTCTCATTGGGGTCTAACCAGATATTCTTCTTGCCACAGCAGAGGACACTAGAGGCAAGCCTCTTCTGAAGCCTGAGCATACTCAAGGCTGCGGCCACAGCAGCGAAAGGAAAGAGCTCCCCTGTGGAGCTTTTTAAACTACACCCGAGGCTACTGAATCAAAATGTCAGGTGGGGCAGTTTCTCTAGATAATTTTTAAAAGTTCTGTGGGTGTTTCTGATATACAGGCAGGGTTGAGAACCACTGCTTTAAATCATTAGTCATTTGGCACAAAGTAAGACAAGCATTTAGGAAGGATCAAAGGGATTTTCTGGTATGCCAGAATTTATGCTAGCCTGGCAGCTGCCTACCGTAAAGCCAACTCTTACTTCCTGTTCAGCACTCCAAGTTAGAGAGGCAGCATCATCCTGAAACTGCTATACAGTGGGATGGGAAGACTAACCACATTGCTAGGTAGAAAGTTTAACAGGGGCCAGGCATGGTGACTCATGCCTGTAATCCCAGCATTTTGGGAGGCCGAGGCAGGTGGATCATTTGAGGTCAGGAGTTCGAGACCAGCCTGGCCAACATGGTGAAACCCCATCTCTACTAAAAATACAAAAAATAGCCAGGCATGGTGGCAGGCGGCTGTGATCCCAGCTACTTGGGAGGCTGAAGTGGGAGAATCACTTGAACCAGGGAGGCAGAGGTTGCAGTGAGCCAAGATCGTGCCACTGCACTGCAGCCTGGGTGACAGAAAAAAAGAAAGTTTGACAGGGCAAGGCTTGTACTCAATCCAACTGAGTCACAAATTTGACTCTGTGCCCCCAGGAAGCCAAGTCAAAAAAAGGGAAATATAATCAGTAATGATTCACATTGTCAATAACACAAAGCAGCCTGTACACAATGAGTGCACAATATTTATGGAATGAATAAATGAAAAAACCAGAGCTTAAACTCCTAATCACTCTTCATTGGGATACAGTTAATTGTTTTTTAAAAGATCTCCTGCTAGGAGTCAAATAATAGAAGCAAAAATGACCAGAAGACAGAGAGACAAAAGTCAACAGTGGAGATCCCCACCAACTCTGCTAACAAAAATTAAAACTGGCCAGGTACAGGGGCTCACACCTGTAATCCCAACACGTTGGGAGGCCAAGGCAGGCAGATCACTTGAGCCCAGGAGTTCAAGACCACCCTGGGCAACATAGTGAGACTCTGTCTCTACAAAAACAAAAAACAAACAAAAAAAAAAACAAACACACACACGCAAAAATTAGCCAGGTGTGGCGGGCTGAGACAGGAGGATTGCTTGAGCCCAGGAGGTCAAGGCTGTAGTGAGCCGTGATCATGCCACTGCACTCCAGCCTGGGTGACAGAGCAAGAGCTTGTCTAAGAATAAATAAATAAATATAAATAAATAAAAATAGAAAAGTCTTGGGGAATAATTGAGTAGTTAAATTCTATGTGGTAAAGCGGCAGCACAGTGGTAAAGACGAAAAGATGCCTGCCATAAAATCTAGTGTTCTTTAATCTGTCATGTATTTAGAAAAAAAAAAAATCTTCTCTTCCTTTTCTTCTCAGTAACAGAACCCGTTTTACTTAGGGTAACTATGCATCAGCTAAATGATGACATTTCTCAGCCTTCTAGCTAGGGATGGCCAGGTTGGTGACACTTTGAACAATGTGATACGAGCCTTTTATGGTGCTTCCAGAAGTCTCCTTAAGGGAAAGGGAGGCATTCTTCTCGATTTGTCCTGCATCTGGCTACCTGGAGCCATCTTGAGCCAGGAGGGTGCCACATCCAAGGAATGGCATCGAGGAGAGCCAGAAGGACTTCAGGGCCCACCATACCAAGCCTGAACTGTCCAACTTTGGACTTCTTTCATGTGTAGGAAAAACATATTTGAGCAATCTTTCAAATCACAACAAATTAATCCTAACTGATACGATTACCGTAACTGGGAGGTTCAGGTTTAGGGGAGCTATAAAAACACCAATGGTAACAAATGCCCAAAATACAGCTTTCCTAATCCATATGTGGGTGCCTTGATCAACACACTGCAGCCTTGAACTCCTGGCCTCAAGCAATCCTCCTGCCTTGACCTCCTAAAGTGCTGGGATTACAGACAGGAGCCACGGCACCTGGTCCATTTATCATTTACTAAGCATTTACTATGTACCAAGCACTTTAGATAATTATTATCCTCATGCTATAGGTGATGTAAAAGAGGCTCACAGAGTTTAATAGCTTCCATAAAGCAATAAAGTTGTTAACAGTTGGATCTAGGGATGAAACCCAAGTTGACCAGATGCCAAAGCCCATGCTCTTTCCACTAATCATGTTGAATCTGCAAGGAAAATTCAATAAATTTATCTTGAGTAGATACCTAGGTTCTAAAGTTAGTAGCATTTAGCAAACAGTTATGGTCTCACTGACAAGGCTCACCTTTTCTTTTGTTTTGTTTTTTTGGCTTTCAACAAAATTTTCTTCCCTTTTGCAAAGTAAAAGGTACTTGGGAGATGCTCAATAAATACTAGTTCTCTTATAAATATAATTGCCCCTTTAATTTTACATGAAGAAGGTTTCAAATGCTATAACTTTCATTACTCAATTTTTCTAATTTACAGTTACATTGAAAAGAACCATCAACAAATAATTGGTTCTGTATTTTAGTCACATAAACAAAATACACATGGTACCTTGAAGACATTTCCTTTGCTTTCAAAAGGTGTCTCAGTTTATCCAGCATAAAACCACCTAACATGTTATCTTTCAAGCTGGGGAGAATGGCTAGTCAAGTCCCATAAAGAGAAACTGTCAGGTAGGAGGATCAACATATCTAGTTTGCCTGAGGATTTCCCAGTGTTAACATTTAAAGTCCTGCATCTTAGGCCAGGTGTGGTGGCTCACACCTGTAGTCCCAGCACTTTCAGAGGCTGAATGAAGCAAGCAGATCATTTGAGGCCAGGAGTTCGAGACCAGCTTGGCCAACATGGCAAAACTCTGTCTCTACTAAAAATACAAAAATCAGCCAGGCATGGTAGTGCATGCCTGTAGTCCCAGCTACTCAGGAGGCTGAGGCACAAGAATTGCTTGAACCTGAAGGTGGAGGTTGCAGTAGGCTGAGATTGAGCCACTGCACTCCAGCCTGGGCAACACAGCAAGACTCTTGTCTCAAAAAAAAAAATTCCTGCATCTTGGGAACTCCCTTGGTTCTGGGAAAACCTGGAGGGTTGATCATTCTATGTCTCAGGTGACCATATAAATGCATAGTCATATCTTCAAAAAAATTTATAAATGTGTGCGCAGTTTAAACTAAATTGAAGATGAAGATTATAAAGTAAGATGTGAAGGTATTCGGGTGGCTAAGCAAAAGAAAAAAATTATAATGCTATACATAATCAGGCTTAACTAAGACAATGTTGCTAAGAATACCAAAAAAGTTTATTAGATCAAATTCTTCATTCTGATGATATTCAATATGTGCATCATCAGTATTAGCGTTCACCCAGCTAAAAAAGAGGCTCCAAACAGCACATGTACATTTATATACAATGGGCATTTAGTCTACACATAAAAGTGAGACACTATATGAGGAAAGATTGAGAAAGAAAATCAACTTTCAGCCAAGAATTGTAAAGTATTTCATATCTGTGAAATGGTGGAAAAGCCTAATTTCAATGTTTCAATTTTGAGGTAATCATGACAGGCTAAACTCCTGTGACAGCAGAAATTAAAAATCTGCACATTAAAGAGATTGGACCAGGTACATTCCCTCTAAGGTCCCTTCCAACTTGAACATTCCATGACAGAAGTCATCACTTGTGTGACCCTTTTACCTAATCGGTAAACCAAGTCAGGCCAGAGAGTTACATGACATTCCAAGGATCTAGCTCTGGCTGATGATGGAGCCTGGACTACGTATCAGCCATGCTGTCACCCTAATTATGCTTAAAAACACTTGGAACCGAAGGGGCATACAATCAGCATAGGAAGATAAATGACACATTTTACTTTATGTGGGGTATTTTACTTAGTTTGGCTTCAAGTTTAAAAAAAAAAAAGAATTTGAGTCCAGAAACTCTTTAAGCTTTCATTGGCTACTTTTACCATAAAATAGCACAACATTCTGGAAAACACACACACATGCACGCACGCACACACATATATGTTCAGAATATATAGACAGCTTAGTTTAGAGAGCTTTCCATGAGCTCTCTAAACAAACTGAAGGAACAAACACAGTAACTTGAACAGAGAACATCTTTGTAATTGAAGGACCTTCAAAATACAGAAAATAATAACTTTCAAAACTAATGACTGCTGTCATCCGGGTGTCCTATTAAGATGTGACCAGTTTTAGCTGGGTGTGGTGGCACATGCCTGTAATTCCAACTTCTGAGGAGGCTGAGGCATGAGTATCGCTTGAACACACGAGGCACAGGTTGCAGTCAGCCGAGATTGCCCCACCGCACGCTAGCTTGGGTGACAGAGCGAGACTCCGTCTCAAAAAAAAAAAAAAAGATGTGACCAGTTCAAGAGTGCTAGTGACAATGAGAAAGCTTGGTGTTTCTCTATTCATTCTTGTAATTGAGAGAGATTACAAAATCACGCAGAAGCCTACAGGCATTCAGTGTTAAATCAATATATTACTGTCCCTTAATCTGGGAAGGTGCCCAAATTAGATAAACACAAGAGTCTGCACCTTCAAGGGGAAAAATGGATTGTTCCAGGTAGCAGGCACAAACTGAGTTGTTTTTCAATCAAGATTTTGAATTATGCTGATCCATCTACATGCCAGACCTGTGCCTCCAGAGCCAACAGCACTGGCCATTCACAACCTGTTACCCAAAGGCAGGGGTGCAATCTGTGAGTGTGTTGCTGACCAACGCTTGCTAATCCACACCCCTCCACTTTTGCTTCATTGGAACCCCGCTGTAACAAGAGTCTGCAGTATATATATTCTGCTGAAGGCTGGGGCTGCTGAGCTAAGGTTCCTTGGCCAAATCACCAGACTCTCCCAGGCTCTTGGTGTCCTATTTTCCTCATCTGTGGAACAAGGCTCATATTTTATGTCTATAAAATCAAACTCTCTCTCTATATATACATATATTTAAAATATTTGAAAGAGCTTTGTAAATGATAAAGTTATAATACATATTATTTAACCAGCTGAGGTTGCAGAAGACTATCTCTAACATAAAACTGCCCCTGGGGATATATGAGTTCGTATGCAATCTGTCTCCAAAGTCTGTTAGTAAAATACTTAAATACACAATAAATGGTTAATAAATTCAAAAGACAAATCAAGCAAAGCACTATAAATTGTAGACAGAATTATTCAGTAGTATAGGCGTTAGAATGAAATATTACTTGAATCTTATGCTGGAAATCACATGGGTGATATTTTAATGCCAGTTTTATGCATGCCCTCACTGGCCTCCAGAATAAAAGTGCTCTTTAACGATTAATTATACATACAGTTCATTTCCCTAATAATACTTCAATGAAAACACTTTTTATGTGTATGCATTTCAACCTAAAAAGCCCAGATCAACAGTCCTCCAGCTATAGCTATATTCTTATTTACAAAGTGTAGAAAGCAATGGAAAAACTCACTATATCCACAGCTATCCATCACCACAAAGAAAAAGCAGAATGAAACAACAAAATTAAAGGCAAATACTGCTTTTCCAAACACAGACTAAATGTTCATAAAAATCCTCTCAGTTTACCAAACTCACAAATACTCAAAGTAACATAATACCCCTTTCGAACAAACACAAGAATGACTGTATCAACTAAAGTATAACCAAAACCCTGTGATGGAATGCTTATGCTAAAATGTTCTTCATATAGTTATAACTGGACTAATTTTAAAATTAGAATTTTGTAACATAGAATTTCTACAATATAATTTGGAATTCTGAGTGAAAATAAGGGTATGAGAAATACACTAAGTATTTTTATCTCTTGGAGACTTACCATAATTCTTGTAGCAGGAAAGCCTGCAGAATGTTAACAAAACAAAATCTCTGAAAATCCTGACTATATTTTCAGTTGACTTGAAACAAATTTAACCCCTCAATCTCTCTCTTAAATTATTATTTTAAATAAGTACTTTTACCCTAAATTTCTTCTTTAACAGACCCAGTATTTTCTTGCAACAAAAATCACACTATTGTGGGATATAGGTAATCTTCTTTTTAAAGATTACATAACTTCTTTCTAAACGATGTCCATGTCTGCGGCTAATTCATAACCAATGTAACTGAAAATAGAAATGGAAATGTTAGAGATTTCCATTTTTTAACAAACATGGGAATTATTTCTCAATTTGAAGAACTGCATCTCAGGAATGACTTCCTGGACAAATTAATCAGAATTATCAAGTAGCAAACATTTCATGCTAAGCCAAAGCCAACCAGGTGAGTCAGTCATATTATAACATGTATATATAACAACGTACAGTAAAGGCAAAGACAAGAACTAAATGACTTTTTAAAAGGCTGTTAAACTTTACTCACTCCCTTAATATTTTCCAGGTTTAACTGACGTATAATGAATGCATGTGATCCCGGAACCCATGGAAGAGTATCTACCTCAACTACCAGGACCATATCGAGCTCTAGCTTGAAAAAAAAAAAAAGCAAAAAACAAACAAAACAACAACAACAAAAACCTATCTGAATACGTGTTCTGAAAAGCCCACAATAATACCCAATTTATAAGAAGCAAACAACCACAGAACAGAAAACTCAAGAAAGCACAGCCTTCCACCACCCCTCCCCAGCTAGCCCCATTTTTTTTTTTGCTCTTCATTTCCATTCCATAGTTAAATAAGTACACTTATTCCAAAATAAAAGGGGAGAAACCTGTTGGAATGGATTTTTAGAAGATAAACACTATAGATGAAGCAACAATAAGTTGCTCGGAGGAAGTTGTCGACCCATTCATTTACATACAACCAAAAGAAGATAAACCCACATGTATTCCTATCAGTGAAGATGCAACCTGGTAATTTGCAGGGAAGATAGGATCTCAAATCCCAGACAGCTACTCTCCCAAAGAGAAAAAAAATAATGCTGTGGCTCTTCACCGAGGCAGCTTCAGAGATGCAGGCTCCGCAACTCGCGAGGTGCGAAAATTCAAATGAAGCCCTGTCGCTCACAAGTGCGGCATCTCCGAGATGAGGGAGGGCTCGGGGACGGGAAACCCACTCTCAGCCCGCTCCACTTCGCCGAAGAATTCCAAACCACCCCAGGCTCAGCAGTGTGGATTGCTCCGCCCAGAGACCGTGGAGGAGGCAGCAGAGAGGTCACAGAGCACAGCAGGCGGGAGAAAACCGCCTCCCGCGAGGTCCAACAGAAACCACGGAGCTCCGGACACTCGGGATCCCGGGCCGCGGGCGCGCGGCCAGAGCGGCGGGGTGCGAGCGCGGGGGTGCGGACTCACCTCGCGCTTGGGGTGGCCGGGAGCGCGCGCCGCCTCAGTTCCGCGGCTTCCGGCCACAGAGTCCCCGCGCAAAGCGCCGCCGCGTAGCGGGAGGGGCGACCGCGGCAGGAGCTCGGGTTCTTCCTAACCCGAGCCCGCCGCGCTGGCTCCGCCGAGGACGCCAGCAGCTGCAGGCAGCGCTTCAGCTCTCGCCGCCTCGCCATCGTTGGGGCGAGTCGTCGCCGGGTCACTCCCTTATTATGACCTTCGAATCTGACAGCAGGGCCAGCGGTGGCCTCCTTCAGGCTGCCTCTCCAGCCCTTACCAAGATGGCCGCCCCTGTGGGCCGGGGCGCCGAAGCCATCTTGGTAAAGGAAGCGCCTGGGAGCACGCGGCCTGCCCCGGCCCGCCTCGCGACTCAAACACTCTGCGGGGACCCTCCTAAGATCAAATTGGTTCCCCCCGCTGTCCTAAGCCAGAGGCTTACTTTCAGATCGCATGAACGCATTCCTGGACACCAGCCACAGTTGCTAAAACTAAATGGGATCCTGCAGACCCATTGACGGACTGTCATAGCCAACTCAATCACAGTCGAGAAGCATTTGAATACTTACAGCCTATGGCGCTAGGATCCTGGTAGCGAAGAAACTAAACTCTAATTTGAAATGTTGTACAGTAGGTATTGAATATTAATGGGAGCACGGCATTGTTCACTGTGTGATCGTTTACTTTTAAAATGATGTCACAGCCCCCTGGTACACACGGTTCTCATCTAAATTTGCATCTTTTTTAACGCTAGGATAACTATGAAAGAGCATACGATTGTGATTCTGAGTTTCTTACTGGATTTGCTTTTTAAACTGCAGAATGAAATTAGTTGTTTCAAGAAGTAAAGTACAGGCATGTCGAAGTAAAATTCAACAATGGGTTGTTGGGCAAAAAGATTATAAAAGTCCTGGGGTGTGCGAGGGTCAAAAAAAAAAAAAAAAGCTTGTCCCTGGGGTTATCTTGGCAAAAAAGAAACCACCACCACAGGTTCTAAATGCAGATAAGACTGGCAAAAAAATGCAGACCAAACTATTCTGCATTTTGAAAGTGAATGTGCCTGTGTGACATTGGAGGAATGTAAAGAACTGTATGTCAAGTGTGGACTTTATCTCCTCAGGCTAGCTTAGAGTGGCTGCTGAACTTAAGGGTGATTAAGAGCTGCTTGCACGTGGGTGGAGCTGAAACTGCATAAGGTGAATAATACCTTTGTGCAACAGAAGAAAAAAAAAAGTAACAGCATACATACAAACCCAAAGGGTAAGTTGAAGTTACTACTCAAAAGTTCTTCATAGTGTTCTTGACTAAGCAACGGAGAAGTAATCCCGGCACTTTGGGAGGGCAAGGCAGGAGAATCCTTCGAGCCCAGGAGTTGGAGACCAACTTGGGCAACATAGCGAGACTTCATCTCTACAAATAATAATTAAAAAAAAAAAAAAGTAGCCAGCCTTGATGGCCCGCCCTTGTGGTCCCAGCTACTCCAGAGGCTGAGGTGGGAGGATCGATTGAGCCTGGGAGATCAAGGCCGCAGTGAGCTGTGATCACGCCACTACACTCCAGCCTGGGCAACAGAGAAGACCCCATTTCCCAAAAAAAAAAAAAAAGCTGGGCGCAGTGGCTCACGCCTGTAATCCCAGCACTTTGGGAGGCCAAGGCAGGAGGATCACCTGAGGTCAGGAGTTCGAGACCAGCCTGGCCAACATGGCGAAACCCTGTCTCAAGTAAAAATACAAAAACTAGCTAGGCATAGTGGAGCTCACCTGTAATCCCAGCTACTAGGGAGGCTGAGGCAGTAGAACTGCTTGAACCCCAGAGATGGAGGTTGCAGTGAGCAAAGATGGCACCACTGCACTCCAGCCTGGTAGACAGAGCAAGACTCTGTCTCAAAAAAAAAAAAAAAAAAAAGATGCCCTTTGTTCCCCTCACTCCCGCTCTTTTTTTTTAAGTCCTTGTCCTTTATTGGTTAAGGCTGAGGGAAGCAGACAGACCAGTTGGACATAGTAGATGGGTGTGTGAGGTCAAAGTGCTACCTGAAAGCCAGCCAACCCACACTCCCCTGAGATGAATGCTAATGCCCTTCAAACTGTGGGCATTGGTTTCACACACAGCCTCTTCCAGGGATAAAAGAAGGGGTTCTTGTAAAGCCTCTTCTTTTTTCTTTTTTTTTTTGAGACGGAGTCTCGTTCTGTCACCCAGGCTGAAGTGCAGTGGCCAGATCTTGGCTCGCTGCAACCTCTGCCTCCCAGATTCTACTGCCTCAGCCTCCTGAGTAGCTGGGACTACAGGTGCCCACCACCATGCCCGGCTAATTTTTGTCTTTTTAGTGGACATGGGGTTTCACCATGTTGGCCAGGCTGATCTCGAACTCCTGGCCTCAAGTGATTTGCCTGCCTGGGCCTCCCAAAGTGATAGGCTTGAGCCACCGCCACCCGGCAGCTTCTTGTTTTCTTACCTCTACCATGGAGACAAGTTCTGGTTTTCTTAGGACAACTAGCTCTGGTCATAAAGATCTCTGGAGTGATCAAGTATGGTGGAGTGGCAGAGTGAGTGTTCCAAAAGGATAAGTAGAACAGGAGTCTTGCCCAGGCCCTATTACAACCTCAGTACCTTGAATGGCCTCCCCAGCCCAACCAGAAGTTGACAAAGAGGCATGAACCTGGTGAAAAGATACATGTATTTATAATTAGCCAGCTGGACTCAGTTTAGATGACCCCAATTTTGTTGGCAATATCCCAGTTTTGTTGGGTCAGCAACAAAGTTGATCCCAATTTTGTTGGCAATATCCAAAGCATTGTAATCAGGAGCCAGTGGAGCTTATGCCTTCTTCCTGCATCAGGCCTAATCAGGGCATGGACTTTGGCCACATCAGTGTCATAGAGCTTCTTCACAGCCTGTTTGATCTGGTGCTTGGTGGCTTTAACATCCACAGTGAACACAAGTGTGTTGTTGTCTTCTATCTTCTTCATGGCAGACTCAGTGGTCAGAGGAAACTCTGTGACAGCATAGTGGTAAAGCTTGTTTCTCCTGGGGACGCTCTTCTTAAGGGAGGAGACCACCCCTCATATTGTCTTATGCCCAGTTTCTGCCTCCAAAGAAAGAAAAAGTAAAAACTAAAAGGCAGAAATGAAATCCACAAGCAGACAGCCAGGCACCACACCCTGGGCCTGGTAGTTAAAGATCGACCCCTGACGTAATTGGTTATATTATCTACAGATTACAGACATTGTATAGAAAAGCACTGTGAAAATCCCTATCCTGTTTTGTTCCGATCTAATTACGGGTGAATGCAGCCCCCCAGTCAAGTACCCCCTGCTTGCTCAATCGATCACGACCCTCTCACACGCACTCCGTTAGAGTTGTGAGCCCTTAAAAGGGACAGGAATTGCTCACTCGGGGAGCTTGGCTCTTGAGACAGGAGTCTTGCCAATGCCCCTGGCCGGATAAACCCCTTCTTTCTTTAACTCGGTGTCTGAGGAGTTTTGTCTGTGGCTCGTCCTGCTACATTTCTTGGTTCCCTGACTGGGAAGCGAGGTGATTGGTGGATGGTGGAGGCAGCTCCTTAGGCAGCTTAAGCCTGTCCTGTGGAACATCCCTGTGGGGGACTGTGACCAGCCCAAGCGACACGGATCCTGAGAGCGCTCCCGGGTAGGCATTTGCCCCGGTGGGACACCTCACCACAGCAGTGTGTGGCAGGCCCCCGTGGAGAATCAACGCAGTGGCTGAACACCGGGAAGGAATGGGCACTTGGAGTCTGGACATCTAAAACTTGGTAAGACTAATCTTTGAAACTTGCCCATTCCGTTTGAGTGGAAGCGTGGCCTGATCACCCATGGCGTGCCTTTATCGGCACTTTGGTTTTGACTTGGTTTGAATTGCTTGACAGGACTGGTCTTGGGAACTTGCCCACTCCATTTGAGTGGAAGTGTGGCCTGATCATCCACAGCATGCCTTTATCGACACTTTGGTTTTGGTTTTGACTTGGTTTGAATAGCTTGACAGGATTGGTCTTGGGAACTTGCCTATTCCATTTGAGTGGACGCGTCGCCTGATCACCCACGGTGTACCTGTACCCGCACTTTGGTTTTTGTTTTTGACTCTACTTGGATTGCTTGATACTTTGGTTTTGGTTTTGACCTGGCTTGGATTTCTGGATACTCTGATTTTGGTTTTGATTTTGGTTTGGTGGAAACTGCAAAAGTGTGTGTGTGTGCCCTTTTTACCTGTTGTTTTCTTGTGTGCGTGTGGCGTGAGTGTGGTGTTTTGTCTCGAAGAAGCATAGGTCAGGCACAAATAAGCCCACCCTACCAGGAACTATGTTGAAAATTTTCAAAACAAAATGTAAAGGAGACTATGGAGTACTATGACACTAGGAAAATTTAAAACTTTGTGTAAATTAGGCTGGCCAGCGTTAGAGGTAGGTTGGCCATTAGAAGGAAGCCTGGACAAGTCCCTTGTTTCAAAGGTATGGCACAAGGTAACCTGTAAGCTGGGGAACCTAGACCAGTTCCCGTACATAGACACTTGGTTACAGCTGGTTTTAGACCCCCGCCCCCAACACACAGTGGTTGAGAGAACAGCAGCATAAGGGGCTGGCAGAGGCAGGGAAAGAACAGCAGAGAGAGAGAAAGGAAACAGAGAGGAAAAGAGGCAAAGGGAGAGAGGAAGAGACAGACAAAGAGGGATTTAAGGAGAGAGAGAAAGAGAGAGGCAGAGAGGGAGAAGAGACAGAGGCAAAAGGAAAAGTCAAAGAGAGATACACAAGTAGTTGAGAAAAAAAAAAGTGTACCCTATTCCTTTAAAAGCCAAGGTAAATTTAAAACCTATAATTGATAATTGAAGGTATGCTCGTAACCCTATAACACTCCAATACCACTTTGTTGTCAGTGTAAACAAGGGCGTATCCCAAAAGCACTGAGGCCATCCTATCAAAAATCCTTGACCCAGTAACCTGTGGATGGCCCAAATGCATCCAATCTGTAGCGGCAACTGCTTTGCTAACAAACAAAAAAAAAGGTAAAAAAAAAAAATAACTTTTAGGGGAAACCTCATTGTGATCACACCTCACCAGTTCAGAAGTATCCTAAGGAAAAAAAAAGGAAAAAAAAGCGGGGGCAGAATTTATATTAAAAAAAGTATTATATGGTAAATTCTTGTCCTGAAATAAATTAACTGGTTGTTTAAAGAAAGAAATATTTGTAATAAGTCAGAAAGTTGAGGCATGTCGAAGAATTGTCTGCGAAAGTCATGAAAAAAAGTTATAAAAAATTTATGCAAAAAATGTTGTATAATTTAAAAGTAACTAGGCCTCCTGAATGTAAAACCGTTGAAAAAAAAAAAAGAAAACAGTTTATGTGCAAGGTGTATAAGAAAAGTAAAATATACCTTTGGTAAAAGGATTATAAGGAGGCCTAAGAATGTACATTTTTACCTACATTAAAAAGTTAAAAAGAATTATTGTTTTGAAGGTTTAAGCAAGTTTTAAAACGTTAATTGTAAAGAAAATGCTGTTTGTAAACATATTAGCTAAAGTTAAAGAGGTATCATCCAGTTTTTCTGTGAACTGGACAGTAAATTAAAAGCATAACAGGTTTTTCTTAAAGCACCAACCTGCTCTTTAGTAAAAATTATAGAAGGTTAAAGAGTCTATAAAATCTTTCCTAATAGTCAAACATTAAAAAATTAAGTAAATATGTTTACAAGGTTTTATTAAAATTAGGTTTAACATTAATAACACACTAATATAAAGATAAAATTTAGCTTATCTGGTATAAAAATCATGTGAGAAGCATTGTTAAATGTAAAATGGTATTTGGCTTTCTTTGGTTTAAAAACTAATAAAAATAGGTTCTAAAGGAAATTTCTCAGTAAAAAAGCACTAAGGACTATAAAGTCCACTGCCAAGGTCCCCATATTTAAAACAAAAGGTCAATTTTCTTAAAAATTATATACTTGGTTTATCTTCCACTTTCCTTTCTCGCAAAAAAAAAAAAAAAAAACAAAAAAACTGAAAGTCTTTTAGCACAGGTACCACCCCTAGAATTTCTGGTAAACCAGCACCAGCCTGAAGATCACGTTATCATCAAAGGGTGGAAAGAAGAAAAACTGGAGCCAGCCTAGGAAGGACCCTACCTTGTGCTGCTAACCACCAAGACTGCTGTTCCTACAGCAAAAAAAAAAAAAAAAAAAGGATGGATTCATCACACCCAAGTCAAGAAAGCGCTACCCCCTCCAGAGTCATAGGCCATAGTCCCAGGGGAAAACCCTACCAAACTAAAGCTAAGAGAAATTTAACTCTTTTCATCTATTCTATTGCTCTTTCTTCTTTCCTCGTTCTATTGCTGACCATCTAGTTATTAACATAACCAAGTCGATTTCACCTCAAACTATTGCATTTAATGCTTGCCTTGGGAACTGGTCTTGGGAACTTGTCCACTCTGTTTGAGTGGAAGTGTAGCCTGATCACCCATGGCATGCCTTTATCGGCACTTTGGTTTTGGTTTTGGTTTTGGTTTTTGACTTGGTTTGAATTGCTTGACAGGACCGGTCTTAGGAACTTGCCCACTCCATTTGAGTGGAAGTGTGGCCTGATCACCCACGGCATGCCTTTATTGGTACTTTGGTTTTGGTTTTGACTTGGTTTGAATAGCTTGACAGGATTGGTCTTGGGAACTTGCCTACTCCATTTGAGTGGAAGCATGGTCTGTGAGGACTTGCCAAGTCAAAGACAGCTCTCTACTTCAGAAAAGCACTTCTGTCCCTCCTGACTCTCCTCAGACTGGGCATTAATAAACTAGGACCATTTAATCCAGGGAGATTTAGATAAAGACCCCAGTGCCAACAAGGAGTCTTGCCCCCCGACGTAGAGCTTTCATGCCATAGTTGGTCCAAAAGAGCAAGGATGGACTGCCCCAGCTGGTTTTGTAATTTCCTAAAACCATACATTCATTTTAGTAGAGGATGATAGAAGTTAAAGACTTAAAACAAACTTTAGCAATTAAGACAGGATACCAAGATGCAAATGCCTGGTCAAAATGGATCAAATATTCCATCTGCATGTTAAACAAAAGCAATTGTTATGCTTGTGCACATGGCAGGGCCAGAGGCCCAAATTGTCCCCTTTCCACTAAGGTGGTCCTCCAGTTGGCCAGGTGTGGGCTGCATGGTAGCTGTTTTCCAGGATTCTACAGCCTGGAGTAATAAGTTGAGCCAGTGTTTCAAACTTTCTATGATGAACTAAATGCCAGTACCAGAAACTACAAGAAAAACAAGAAATTTGTTTTTGCAATTAGCCGAGCATGTAGCCCAGTCTCTCAATGTCACTTCATGTTATGTATGTGGAGGAACTGTAATAGGAGATCAGTGGCCATAGGAAGGCCGAGAATTAGTACCTACAGACCCAGTTCCTGATGAATTCCTAGCTCAAAAGAATCACCCTGATGATTTCTAGGTCCTAAAAGCCTCCATTATTGGACAATATTGCATAGCTAGAGAAGGAAAAGAATTCACTCACCCCATAGGACGACTTAGTTGTCTGAGACGGAAACTGTGTAATGGTACCACAAAAATAGTCTCTTGGTGGAGTTTACATCACACAGTGAGAAATCCGTTTAGTAAATTCCCAAAGTTGCAGACCATGTGGACCCACCTGGAGTCCCACCGGGACTGGATAGCCCCCACTGGATTATACTGCATATATAGGCATAGAGCTTATGCCAAATTACCTGACCAGTAGGCAGGTAGTTGTGTTATTGGCACTATTAAACCATGTTTCTTCCTACTGCCCATAAAAACAGGCGAAATTCTAGGCTTCCCTGTCTATGCTTCCCATGAAAAGAGAAGCATAGCTATAGGAAATTGAAAAAATGATAAGTAACCCCCTGAGAGAATCATACAATGTTAGAGGCCTGCTACTTAAGCACCAGACGGCTCGTGAGGATACCAGACTCCCATTTACATGCTTAACCGAATCATACACTTAAAATTCATTAAGTCCCCATCCCCAAGGGCTTACAGTTTCATTGGACAGGCAGGGTAAGCTAGAAAAAAATATATAGCAAAATATGTGATTCAGAGAATAAGTACTAAAGATTTCCAAAGGGAAGAGATGATGGCCAACATGATTTAGTTTTCAGGGAATAGGTGAAATTTGGTCTAGGCCATGCTGGAAGGCTAGATTTTGTTTTAATAGAAGGGAACATGGCAAAGGAATTATAATCAGGGAGCTATATATTTCTAAAAACGCTTCCTCAGTGCCTGGCACACAGTCGGTGCTAATATGAACACTTTAAGCCTCTTCAGATGAGGAAGGAAGGGAAGAAACAACTAATGTAAGTTTCAGGAATAAGTGAATGGATTAAAGAGTGAATGAATGAGGTAACTAATGAGTGGAACATGAAATGCCTGGAGTACCCCAATCTGAAGCCTGGCTTTCAGAGTTCCCCAAATCTAATTGGGCCAGAGCAGGCTTCTCCCCCAAGGGTACTTAGTTCCCCCTACTATGAAGGTGGCTTTAGGAATACTGGGAGGCAAAAATTCTACCTCTGGCCTCCTCTTTGGGCCAGAACTTGATTTCCTCCAGCTTGCTTCTGTTGACTCCTTTTCAGAGGCCTGAACCTTCCTCTCACCTGCCCCCAGACACAGGAAGATTTGGGACCAATTCAGTTGGACATCGTATGGTCGATCTCCTACCTCCATTATCTAGGGTGGGAACCTGGATGTTTCACACAATGTATCCTCTCACTCCTAAGCTGTTCCCTCTACTCAACCTTGCCTTATGCTTCCTGGGGTCAGAGATCTGTTCCTGATACACTCAGCTCTTCTCTGTAGCTTCCACCCCTTCCCAGAGGACCCTTCTCCTATGACAGGTTCATTCTCCCACAGCTCCACTCCCTCCCTCCCCAAGCCTTCTTTTTCCCTCCTGGAAAACTCCTCTGAACTCCTTTTTATCTCCGCTCTTTGTCACTAGTGTCTTGTGCAGACTGCCCGTCAGCTCCCCCTTGACCTCACCAGCATTGGCCCCAGTCCTTCCAGCTCCTACCAGTGCTAGGAATGACTTCAACACTGAGCCTGTCAGCCCCTTGACATCCTCATCTCCAGGGACCTGCACTCCCACTTCATGTCATTGACCAACACTTATGGTCTCACCTTGCACCATATCATCACCCCAGTCTGGCTTTGCCTCTGCATTTTAAAATTCAAACATCCAAACCTCTACTGCCTCCAAGTCTGTTTGGTATTCTATCTTCATCCCAGGGCCTGTCACTGCAACTCCCTCTGCCAGGATCTTTCCTTGCTTGGTCCTTCTGTCTCATCCACGTGACAGAATGTTACTATCCAACTTTGGATCCATACCCATGCTATTTACTGGAGTGCTGGAGAAATCCCACAACTTAGAAGGCAGGAACCCTATGGATTCATAGTTTCCGTTAGCAACTGGATCCCACATACTGGCTTCTACATTCTCCTAATTCCAAACTCCCAAGAAGATACAGCAAATGTCCACTAGTCTCTTAAACCTGCTACCCTGTCACCAACTCCCACACCCCTAAACATGGCCTTGCCTCTTACTCAATGGAGAAACTGGGCACCATCAGAAGGAGCTGCCACATACCCTCAGACTCACCAAAGAGTCTGCTTCTTACGCCAGTGTAAGCACTGAACAGGCAGGTGGGCGTATGGGTCTGAGACTGAGGAGAGCTGGCCTGCAGACACAGGTTTGGAAATCTTCAACAAAAAGACAATAATGAGATTGCCCAGGGAATGTGTGTGAGGTAAAAAGAGCCTAGTTTTTGAACTCTAGAGGACATCAATGTTTGTGAACAAGAGATATCTGTAAGGGAGACTGGAAAAGAGCAGCCAGAGAGATCACAAAACCCAGGAGCATGTGGGTCAGAGAAACCAACAGAAGGAAGTGGTCAGCTGACATGATAATGACTGGCGTGTCCTGTGAACCAGAAACATGGAGGTCTTTAACCATCTTGGTGAGAGCAGTTCTGTGCAGTATTAGATGAAGATGCCAGACTTCTGTGAACTTGAGTGTGACTGGAAAATCCTTCTGAGGAAAGCACAAGGACTCCTAGAAACCTCTGAGGAAGCAGAGATAGCAGGTATAAGGGACTCTGCCAAGGATGTCTATGCATGAAGGAAGGAGAGAGATCTAGTGGTTGCCTTGGGGAGATGCTGGTTTAGTGGAGAGTTCTAATGAAGATAACAGCCATGTGATTTGGGCATGCTTAAGACTGTAGAAAGGCAGCCAGAAGAATGGAGAGATGACCAAGCAGCTAGTTAGTAGAGGGAGCACCATCCCCTGGAAGAGAGGTTGGCTGTGTCCAGAAGAGGGGCTCCTCCTTGCGATGGGGTGTCTTTTAGTCACCTGAAACCCCAAGTCTGCTTTTCCTCCAGTCTCCTTACTCCAGCAAGTGGCACTACCATTCCCCCTATTCCTTTATCCAGGCAGTCATCCTGCTGATTCTGTCTCATTAATGGTCCTCAAATCAATTCATTGCTTTCCACCCTCAATGCCATGATCCACAGTCGTTTTTCCCATGGTCTTCAGCAGCAGCTCTAACTGTCCTCTTTGCATCTTCTCTTGTTGCCCATCAATCTTCCAGAGAGCTGTTTCCAATATGCAAATCGAATCCTGTCACTCCTTGTTTTGAAAACCATTCAACACTTCCAACTGTGTCGACATGGCTAACTAGGACTTCAGGATCTTTGTCACACACCGTCTTCCTGCCCCTTCTTCTCCAGCCTTGCCTCTCACCATTCCCCAGTGTCCCTCACCATTCCCCAGTGCCCCTCACCATTCCCCAGTGCCCCTCACCATTCCCCAGTGCCTCTCACCATTCCCCAGTGCCCCTCACCATTCCCCAGTGCCTCTCACCATTCCCCAGTGCCCCTCACCATTTCCCAGTGCCTCTCACCATTTCCCAGTGTCCCTCACCATTTCCCAGTGCTCCTCACCATTCCCCAGTGCCCCTCACCATTCCCCAGTGCCCTTCACCATTCCCCAGTGCTCCTCACCATTTCCCAGTGCTCCTCACCATTCCCCAGTGCCCCTCACCATTTCCCAGTGCTCCTCACCATTCCCCAGTGCCCCTCACCATTCCCCAGTGCCCTTCACCATTTCCCAGTGCCCCTCACCATTCCCCAGTGCTCCTCACCATTCCCCAGTGCCCCTCACCATTTCCCAGTGCCCCTCACCATTCCCCAGTGCCTCTCACCATTCCCCAGTGCCCCTCACCATTTCCCAGTGTCCCTCACCATTCCCCAGTGCCCCTCACCATTCCCCAGTGCCCTTCACCATTCCCCAGTGCCTCTCACCATTCCCCAGTGCCCCTCACCATTCCCCAGTGCCCCTCACCATTCCCCAGTGCCCCTCACCATTCCCCAGTGCCCTTCACCATTCCCCAGTGCCCTTCACCATTCCCCAGTGCCCTTCACCATTTCCCAGTGCCTCTCACCATTCCCCAGTGCCCTTCACCATTTCCCAGTGCTCCTCACCATTCCCCAGTGCTCCTCACCATTCCCCATTGCCCTTCACCATTTCCCAGTGCTCCTCACCATTCCCCAGTGCCCTTCACCATTTCCCAGTGCTCCTCACCATTTCCCAGTGCCTCTCACCATTTCCCAGTGCCCTTCACCATTTCCCAGTGCTCCTCACCATTCCCCAGTGCCCTTCACCATTTCCCAGTGCCCCTCACCATTCCCCAGTGCCCTTCACCATTTCCCAGTGCTCCTCACCATTCCCCAGTGCCCTTCACCATTTCCCAGTGCTCCTCACCATTTCCCAGTGCTCCTCACCATTTCCCAGTGCCCCTCACCATTCCCCAGTGCCCTTCACCATTTCCCAGTGCCTCTCACCATTCCCCAGTGCCCTTCACCATTTCCCAGTGCTCCTCACCATTTCCCAGTGCTCCTCACCATTTCCCAGTGCCCCTCACCATTCCCCAGTGCCCTTTCACCATTTCCCAGTGCTCCTCACCATTTCCCAGTGCTCCTCACCATTCCCCAGTGCCCTTCACCATTTCCCAGTGCTCCTCACCATTTCCCAGTGCTCCTCACCATTTCCCAGTGCCCCTCACCATTTCCCCAAGGGCCCCTAACCATTTCCCCAGTGCCCCTCACCATTTCCCAGTGCCCCTCACCATTCCCCAGTGCCCCTCACCATTCCCCAGTGCGCTTCACCATTTCCCAGTGCGCTCTCACCATTCCCCAGTGCCCCTCACCATTTCCCAGTGCTCCTCACCATATCCCCAGTGCTCCTCACCATATCCCCAGTGCCCCTCACCATTTCCCCAGTGCTCCTCACCATTTCCCAGTGCTCCTCACCATTTCCCAGTGCTCCTCACCATTCCCAGTGCCCTTCACCATTTCCCAGTGCTCCTCACCATTCCCCAGTGCCCTTCACCATTCCCCAGTGCCCTTCACCATTTCCCAGTGCTCCTCACCATTCCCCAGTGCCCTTCACCATTTCCCAGTGCTCCTCACCATTCCCCAGTGCCTCTCACCATTCCCCAGTGCCCTTCACCATTTCCCAGTGCTCCTCACCATTCCCCAGTGCCCTTCACCATTCCCCAGTGCCCTTCACCATTTCCCAGTGCCCCTCACCATTCCCCAGTGCCCTTCACCATTTCCCAGTGCTCCTCACCATTTCCCAGTGCCTCTCACCATTTCCCAGTGCCCTTCACCATTTCCCAGTGCTCCTCACCATTCCCCAGTGCCCTTCACCATTTCCCAGTGCCCCTCACCATTCCCCAGTGCCCTTCACCATTTCCCAGTGCTCCTCACCATTCCCCAGTGCCCTTCACCATTTCCCAGTGCTCCTCACCATTTCCCAGTGCTCCTCACCATTCCCCAGTGCCCCTCACCATTCCCCAGTGCCCTTCACCATTTCCCAGTGCCTCTCACCATTCCCCAGTGCCCTTCACCATTTCCCAGTGCTCCTCACCATTTCCCAGTGCTCCTCACCATTTCCCAGTGCCTCTCACCATTCCCCAGTGCCCTTCACCATTTCCCAGTGCTCCTCACCATTTCCCAGTGCTCCTCACCATTCCCCAGTGCCCTTCACCATTTCCCAGTGCTCCTCACCATTTCCCAGTGCTCCTCACCATTCCCCAGTGCCCTTCACCATTCCCCAGTGTCCCTCACCATTCCCCAGTGCCCCTCACCATTTCCCAGTGCCCTTCACCATTCCCCAGTGCCCCTCACCATTCCCCAGTGCCCTTCACCATTTCCCAGTGCCTCTCACCATTCCCCAGTGCCCTTCACCATTTCCCAGTGCTCCTCACCATTTCCCAGTGCTCCTCACCATTTCCCAGTGCCTCTCACCATTCCCCAGTGCCCTTCACCATTTCCCAGTGCTCCTCACCATTTCCCAGTGCTCCTCACCATTCCCCAGTGCCCTTCACCATTTCCCAGTGCTCCTCACCATTCCCCAGTGCCCTTCACCATTCCCCAGTGTCCCTCACCATTCCCCAGTGCCTCTCACCATTCCCCAGTGCCCTTCACCATTTCCCAGTGCCCCTCACCATTCCCCAGTGCCCCTCACCATTCCCCAGTGCTCCTCACCATTCCCCAGTGCCCCTCACCATTCCCCAGTGCTCCTCACCATTCCCCAGTGCCCTTCACCATTCCCCAGTGCCCTTCACCATTTCCCAGTGCCTCTCACCATTCCCCAGTGCCCTTCACCATTTCCCAGTGCTCCTCACCATTTCCCAGTGCTCCTCACCATTTCCCAGTGCCTCTCACCATTCCCCAGTGCCCTTCACCATTTCCCAGTGCTCCTCACCATTTCCCAGTGCTCCTCACCATTCCCCAGTGCCCTTCACCATTTCCCAGTGCTCCTCACCATTCCCCAGTGCCCTTCACCATTCCCCAGTGTCCCTCACCATTCCCCAGTGCCTCTCACCATTCCCCAGTGCCCTTCACCATTTCCCAGTGCTCCTCACCATTTCCCAGTGCTCCTCACCATTCCCCAGTGCCCTTCACCATTCCCCAGTGTCCCTCACCATTCCCCAGTGCCTCTCACCATTCCCCAGTGCCCTTCACCATTTCCCAGTGCTCCTCACCATTTCCCAGTGCTCCTCACCATTCCCCAGTGCCCTTCACCATTTCCCAGTGCTCCTCACCATTTCCCAGTGCCCCTCACCATTCCCCAGTGCCCTTCACCATTTCCCAGTGCTCCTCACCATTTCCCAGTGCTCCTCACCATTCCCCAGTGCTCCTCACCATTTCCCAGTGCTCCTCACCATTTCCCAGTGCCTCTCACCATTCCTCAGTGCCTGATGCCCTCTCTTCCCTGGACATGCACACATATTGTTATCTTGGATGGCCACCCTTCTGTCCTGCCCAGGCCCTGCCAGTTCTCCTGGATGACTCTGGCTCAGTCTTCACATCTCACTTAGAACTCAGATCCTGAAGGAACTCTCTTCTCTTCCTGTAACCTAGACCTTCCCCTGTCATATCTCTTACCACACTGTTTTTGTTTTGTTTTGTTTTGAGATGAAGTCTCGCTCTTGTCCCCCAGGTTGGAGTGCGATGGCGCAATCTTGGCTCACTGCAACCTCCGTCTCCCAGGTTCAAGTGGTTCTCTTGCCTCAGCCTTCCGAGTAGCTGCGATTACAGGCATGCACCAGCACACCCAGCTAATTTTTGTATTTTTAGTAGAGACGGGGTTTCACCATGTTGGTCAGGCTGGTCTTAAACTCCTGACCTCAGGTGATCCACCCACCTCGGCCTCCCCAAGTGCTGGGATTACAGGCGTGAGCCTTACCACACTGTTTTATTTGTCCACTTATTTGTCTGATTTCTTTGTTACACTGTAAGCTTCTTGAGCCTGTTATGGGGTGAGGAAAGTGGAATTGGGCTGAGAGAAGTTGAACTTCAGTCCAATCCAATAGGGAACTCTGGAGCTAGGATGCCCCTTCAAACTCATTGCAAGTTGCAGTAAGGGTCCCAAACCTTTGACATTCACATCAACCTATTATCAGTGCTGACTGCTTCCAGTGAGCGGGAGTAACCTTGGGAAGGCAGCTCCCTTCAGCCGAGAGCAATTGCCAAAGAGGGACTCAGTTGGAAGCCCTTAGCCACCAACACCCCTGTCATGCTGAGGGGAGGAGGGCTTCAGACCTGAAGGAGGAATCTGGGTGGCCACCACAGCATCTGCTACCAATACCTTTGGTGGCTCAGGGCCACCAGATACAGCATAGGTGCCTATTAAATCTTTGTTGGTTAATGATTGATTACGTGATTAAATGAATTAATTAAATCACAGAAAACAAGTTTAATTACATTAAATGACTCGAGATTTAGGGCCTTAAAGAAGGGCAAATGTTTTATTTAGAAATAAAAAACTAGTGAAGGTTCTTGAGCAAAACACTAATGGATTTTAAACAGGATTTGAGGAACATTGTGCAAGTAGATATGTTATGAGGGAGTAAATTTGTGATGTGGGCGGTGTGGATGGCTGAGATGACAGCAAGAATGTGGACGGGAAGAAATCCTAGGGGCTGGGAGGCTGCTGCTTTAACAGGAAGGATGAGGTATGGCACGCCTGTAATACAATGTTTAGAGCATGACAGGACAAATATGAGACCAGCTGAAAGGTTAACTCTTTGGAAAATATGTATGATTGTACTTGACCTCATTACTATTAATAGGTTCAAGCAAAGATTCTCCCATTTTGAATATATTAAGTAATAGATTAGATGTAAATTCCTTGAAGGCAATACTGCATCCCCAGTGCCTAGGGCAGTAGCTACACACACTACATGCATAGTACATTTGTTGAATAAATAAGTGGATCAAATCTTGACTGACAGAACTCTAATACAGATTCCTAATGATTAGGAAACAGATTGGTGTAAGTCTAGACCTTCAAAGTATTCACTGTACATTTCTAAACTATAGTTACTTTAGAGTAATCTTGCAGATGTATTTTAAAACTAAGAGATTTATTTGTTTTACTTACCAATCAGGCATTAATTCAATTCACCCCCTGTCCCCCCAGTGCCATGAATCATGGTTTGTTCTTAGGAAATGAACCTTAAGGAAATAGCTGGAAACATTTCATTGCCTTGGCAAGATGACCTGAAGCACACTCTGCTCAGCAATGCTGGAGTGGGTGAACTCCCTACTTTTACTTTTGCCAGCCAAGAAGCTCCCTGTTGTTACAGTATCCAGTTTGTAGCAGGCAACTGATTAGGGAGGAGTCGCTGGTAAGGAGTCTTTTGCTTTTAAAAGAAAACTAACTGACATGAATTCCAGCACCTGATTTTTGCACCTGGACTATGAACATCGTGTCTGGAGGAGTCAAGGCTGCTCTGGCAAGAGCTGAAGTATAAAGTGCAGTGAAATTGTGCTCTAGCATTGGCGTCTTGCTTGCAGAGCAGTGTATACCATACTAGGTTTCTAGCAGCTTTGGGAGGAATATGCCATGTGTGTTCTGTGCAGTCTCAGGAGGAATCAAAACAAGTGATTCCCAGTTGCCATTGGCCCTGAGTTAATGAGAGAATTGGAGGATAGAAGATAAAAAAATAAAAAAAAGACCTTAGTCCCATACTTTCTGGCCTACCCAAAATGGCTTCTTTTATGGATGCAATGGACAAAAGAGGAAGTGGCATCAGCTAAGCACACAGAGGAAGAAGTGGCATCAGCTAAACGCACAGCCCAAAATTCCATGGTTGGTCCATGGACTTCCACCCATGTTTTGAGGGTTTCCACCTCTGGTTGGGGGTGACTGAGGTTGTGGGGCTGGGTAATGATGTTAATGATATTTTACGGCCAGTGCTTTTCCTCATCCTGAGCCTCTCTCAATACTCAGTTGTTCAATGTGTGGAAATTAGTGAGGGTTAAGTTGGGCCTCTGGATTCCCCCAAAGAGATGCCACAATAATACCCCCCAGTGATTGTTTCAAATGATGTGTATTGCTTTGTGTGAATCAGCATTTAGTCACACTTGGATCTTAAACAGCCTTGAGAGCTAGTTGGAACTGCCCAATCTATGCTTATCATAGCACTGCAATTCACACGCAGACTTGGTGTTTGTTCTCCTTTCCTCATCTCTCATGAAAAAAAAACACAACTAGGACTGTAAGAACCGACACACAGTTCCTTCAATGTCAGCTTCAAAGTTCTAATCTGCAATATTATTTTCTTCATGAGAATTAGACTTGCATGGAGAATCTGATGTTAGTTACTTTACATAAGGCAGACAACCATGTAATACAAGATTTGGCCCTCCATAGCAATCCAGGACAGCCAGAGAATGCTTGGCTATCTCTGAAGCCCACTCCAGCCAAAGTGGGTAAACAATGAAATGATGGGATGCTAAACTTCCACTGTTCAGTGTGTTAAACGCAAACGTTCAAAAAAATTAATTTGTCTCACTCCAACCTTAGGTATTCTGAGTTTCTTTTCTGCTGTGACTATTTTGGACAAATGCATGTAATCCAGAAACCATGGAACAAATAAGACGATTAAAGGAGAAAGAGTATAGTGAGACCAGGGGACCAAGGACCTTAACAAAGGCAGCCCAGGGAATGAAGACATGATGGAGGGAGAGGAGGAAAGCTAAGGGATGGGCAGCTCATTGGAAGCTGGAGGCAGAGGTGACACTGATGTTTGAAATCCCTCATGTGGCTGGGTATGATGCCTCAGGGAAGCTTCTCTGGAGCCCCAGAACAGGCCACTGCTGAACCCCAAGCCTGCATCATCCCTTCACTGGGATTCCAGGCACAATTTTATTTTAAAGATGGCAATGCTGCTATAAAAAATAAAAGCAAGCAAAATATCTAGGAAGCTTGCTTAAGATGCGCTTTATCAGCTCCTGTCCCTAGAGAATGAGTTTCAGGTGAGGTCTTTGTCTGCATTTCTAGCCAGAGGACTATGATGCACATGGATCTTGACCGCACCTTGCAAAATGCTGGCCTGAAAGGTGGTTTAAGGGTCATTACTCCAAAGGAATCAGTTCTGAGTGTTTGGAGGTCACACTTCTCACTAAATTAAGGGGTTTTTTTTTGTTTTGTATGTGTGTTTTTATAGATATGGAGTCTCACTATGTTGCCCAGGCTGGCCTCAAAATCCTGGGTTCAAGAAATCCTCCTGCCTCAGCCTCCCAGAGTACTGAGATTATAGGCATGAGCCACTGCACCTGGCAAAGGTTTTTCAGTTTTTTTTAACTTTTTGCTCCTGTTTTCCATTTTTTGAGGACAAATATTTTCTCATATTCCTGTATTAGGAATATTTAATAATCTATACATTTGTGAAGGACACATTCAGAAAAAGTAAACAAAATTTTAAGAAATCGTGGGAAAAAAATAGAGTCATATTTCCACAGTTTATCCTTCATCCTTTTTTTTTGCTTTTTTTTTTTTTTTTTTTTTGAGACAGAGTCTCACTCTGTTGCCCTGGCTGGAGTGCAGTGGTGTGATCTCGGCTCACTGCAACCTCTGCCTCCCAGGTTCAAGCGATTCTCCTGCCTCAGCCTCCTGAGTAGTTGGGATCACAGGCGCCCAGCACCATGCCTGTTTAACTTTTTTTGTGTTTTTAGTAGAAACGGGGTTTCACTATCTTGGCCAGGCCGGTCTTGAACTCCTGACCTCATGATCTGCCCAACTCGGCCTCCCAAAGTGCTGGGATTACAGGCGTGAGCCACTGTGCCCAGCACCCCCCCTTTTTTTAGAATCATATTTTGGAGGAATAGCTATTGAATGTCCATCATAATTCTGTTTTAGTAGTTTAAGATGAATCTTGGAAACAAGTCTTAAAAATGTTGCCAAGAGAATGAGGTAGGTAACAATAGAACATGTACTATTTATAAAACTTTATTAAGAGGTTACACAGGTATATTATTTTGGGATCTGTGGAGTTAGACTATTTCAGAGCTGGTGTCATCTAACCCTTTTTTTGGAACCTGAAATTGGGGGGAAAAGGAGTAATGACACTGCTCAGTGGATGCCCATAGGCTGCTGCCTCTCATCCCTGCAGCTCTGGCAACATAACAATTACCTGGGAGGCTCTGAGAAATGCTGGTGCCCAGATGTCACTCCAGGCGAATGCAATCAGAAAAGGATGGCATCTGTACCTTTTAGAAGTTTCTCAGGTGATTCTGCCAAGCGGGGAGCCCGAGACCCACAGCTTTAGGGAAAAGAGAAATGACCTCTTTGCTCATTCCTTATGATATGATAGATTTTTAACATATATATCTAAAAGTAAATTTATCTTTACCCAGGGTCTGTACAGTAAAAGGAAAAGATAATGAGGTAACAAGTAATGCAGAATGTCTCTCTGATCACAAGTCAAAATGTGGAAGTGCGTTTCACACATCAAAGGTGGGACTTCATTCCTGGCACTGATCTCTATTTGAGCTCCGCTTTTGTAGACTCTACAACAATTAGGTTAGCTCATGAATGCTAATTTATCCCACAGGGCACAGTAGATATACAGTAATGGCTAGAAAATGGTTTGAAACTTTAACCTGGGATGCCAGAGGTTTGCCTCCCAGACCCCCGCTTGTCTCCTCTGCTTGGCCCCAGCTTGGCTGCAGTGCAGGCAACCAGAGCAGGACTCACCCTATCTCCCCTCTCCCTGGAAGAGAAACAGAAAGAGCGTGATGATGATGGATGGAGGAAGGGAGAAGTGAATCAAGGTGCAAGACTGAGAGCTGATGAAGAGTCATGAAATATCTTGGAGAAAATTTTCTCAAATACCCTTTTTTCCTGGAGTTACTCAAGCACAAGATACATTTCTGGAGTCAGCCAAGAAACAGGCCCATGGAATTTTAAGAGTCAAGAAAACAAAAGAAATCCAGGCTTAGCCAGCCTATAGATTTGTGTATGGGCATGATACAAAGCATTAATGATACATTTGTTCTTTATGCCCCAAAATTAGAAGACTGATACACCATCAAGGAAAACCCCCAGAAAAGGGAAAAGCCTTACAATAGCAAATAAAAAGAGCCCTACAAAACTAGCCTTTACCAAGTTCTAGGGACTGTCTAAGGATATCACATATACTACCTTGTTTAATTCTCACAGGCGCCTACAAGATGCATCCTTTCATTATCCTCAATTTGTAGGAGAAAGAACTCAGAGAGGCTGAGGAAACTTGCTCAAGGTTATATCACTAGTTAGCGGTGGAGCTGGGGTGTGAACTCAGACCACTGTTCCTAACCCTTGACACTACACTGTCTTGTGAGATGGACAATTCATAAAAGATAACAACATGAGTTTTTTTCCCTTAAAACTAAAAATTGCTTCCTTGAAAATAAAGATGCTTAGAGCCGACCCTAAGAATCACAGCCCATCCTAAGAAAGTATGTTCAGTGCAATTGAGTGTGGCAAATTATGGGGATTAACTTGAATTCTCTTTATGTATTACAAAGTAAGTCATTAGTAGACTTTGGAACTCTGTTGTTAGTAACAAATGTCTTACACCCCAGCTCATTGCAACACCCCAGTGTGCTGTGATACCACCATGGCTGGGAACCATTGGCCTGGAAAATAGACCTAGGCAGAAAGATATTTATGTAACTGAGTTGAAGAAGGTAGCTGGAAGGTGCATGAAGCTAGACATTGGCAGTGTGTGTCAGGTGCTACAGCTTAGGGCCTTCCTGGAAAATGGGCAGGAAAAATAGACGGTGACAAAACAAACACATCAGTATTATGGGTAAGCCTGCAGAGATAAGTTCTGGGGCATTCTGCTGCCTGCCAAGACTACATAAGTCCCAGGAGCCACAGCATTTGTTGCATAAGATTAAATCACTCCAAGCTGAGAATTTCCCCCTTTAAAGGAATAAATGGCAAGCCATGGGGGAAAGAATGAGCCAACGCTTCTAGGACATGTGTGCCTCCACTTAGGCATTTTGGTCCCTTGACCCTCCAAGACATTGATGTGACTTTGGCCAAGTCACTGGTTGTTACCAAGAGGGGATGAAATACATGTTTCCCTAAATCCCTTCCAACTCAAAAAATATGGGATACTTTGAATAAAATGAGATTGGTACAAAATTCTGATTACCTTTGAGAATGTCTAGCTCTGATTGCTAGATTTTCACTGCATATTTTCCTCTAGCCTTCAATTATCTCCCAATAATTTACCCCCAAATCTTTATTACTTCAAATGAATAGACTTTTCATAGAGCCCTACTGCATCTCTAGTCCACAGACACTAAGACATACATTAGCATTATTAAATTGTAAGCCAAAGACATATCTATATATCTAAATACTGTGTTTGCATGCTTTCCCTGATCATTATGTACTTTTTCCCCATTCCATTACCACTTAAAATGCATTTTGTGATATTTCATTAAAGAGGCATAATTACATTAGAGAAGTTTGTTTTCAGACATCAACATGTGCCTTTGGGTTACATTTCACATTATGAAGATGGACTTAAAAGAGATAACACCATTTAGTGTGCTAATTATCACAAGATTCTCAAAGTGCGCCAGACTCTAGGTGCTTTTGCTGTTTAAGAAATGTGACTGTAAAAACTTCCACTCATGAAGCTTAGCATGCATTGACTACCTACTATGGATTGGGCTTGATATTGAGGATAGAGAAGAACAAAACAAGTCTAGCAGAGCAGGAAAGTGTGTGTGTAAATACGTTGTAGCCACCACCCTCTGGAGTGGCTCTCCATTTCACCAAGAATCCCTTAGGCCCTCCCCAGCAGCACTCTTTCCCCTTCTATGCCCAGGAGCCTGCACCACAATTGTATTATGTGATGTAGCCCTGAATGGATAATGGCCCCTGCACAACCAGGCAACATTGTCTCTCCCAGGAATTTGAACCTTTAACTAAGAGTTTTAATTTAGCCTGGGCAAGCCTGGTGAATGACAGACTCAAAACTGAAGATTATGGAGCAGCCACTTCTGCTTGTTATGTTGGCTGAGAAGTAGAAATATAGAAATAATCAGTGTGCAGAGTAGAGTGCAGCAGAGAGAGAGAAACAAGGATGGAGGAGGGAGAAAGAATAATTAGATGACTGAATGAATCCTGGAGAGCCTTGCTTCCCACCAGTTGTTGGTTCCAGACCCTCCAGCCGCATTCCAACACCCCAGTGCTTGAGGCCCCCTACATTTCCTTTTTTGTGGTTTTAGCCTTGATTTTTTTTTTCTTTGGAACCAAGAGTTCCAACTAATAAATGAGTGTAATAACTTGTTATTGGCATTATAATGGAAGTGGGTACAGAACAAATTTTAACCTATCTTATTTATACAAATAGAGTACAGATGTCAATTGTACTTAATGTTAAATAGGCCAATGACAACTCATTTTTGTTCTTAAATCCTTTCCACTATAAACATTTATGCACAGCAACATTTGCAAGACACTGAGCCTTGGCAGTGAGTGTAACAAGATGCATAGCAATGGTGGGCAACCTTATTTTGATCAAGAGAAAATTAGGAAAAAGCAAAAATTACTTACAGGCTATATTTCTCTCTCATTCAAAATGGCTTTATTGTTGATCTTATGGGGAAAATTGTATTTTTGCAACTCAGGTGATTTATTTATTGAAGAGAAGAATGCCAACAAGAAAACTTTTTCGGCCTCTGAAAGATTATAACATGTTCCGGTTTAAGGATTTGTAACTCCAGACAGCTCTAATTGTCCATCTCTTATGTTTGGACTGCACCTTAATTTTCACCACATGAGTTCATCTGCATTAGCCCCAAGTATCCTTCCATCCCCCTCATCAACAAAATCTGGCCCATGAGGTATTATTATCCTCATTTAGAGGATATGGAGAAATTAAGGCTCTGTTTCAAAGCAAGTCTGTAAATTCTTTAACATTCTTCCCATCAAGAAGAGAGATCTATCTCCTGCCCTGGAACATGGGCAGCGCTTTTGACTGTCTCCGTGCATATAATATGGTGGAAGTGACACTGCTTGACTTGTGAAGCTGGATCACAATGGGTTATTGACTTCCACCAGCCTGTCTCCGGGGACAGGTGACTTCATGTAAGAAGTCCAGCTACCCTGACAGAGAGTCCACATTGGAGGGAGCACACTGTAATAGACAGAGGTGCCTGAGGAGCCCCGGCTGTTCCAGCCGCCAGCTATTTAGGTCTTCCCAAGTCAGGCACCAGAGAGTATGAATGGAAAGGCCTTCAAGAGAACTCTAGCCCCAGCCATTGTCTGATTGTCACTGCATGAGGACCAAAAACTACCTAGCTGAGCCCCATCAACCCCTAAAGAAGTGAAAGATAGTAATGACAAATGCTTGCTGTTGTTTTATAGCACCAAGCTCTGAGTGGTTTGTTGTGCTGCAGGCTCCAAGAGAAGTAACTTTCTGAGAGCACTCAGGAATTTCTTAGTGGAACTGGGGCTAGAATCAATTCACTGCATTTAATGCAGTATTAACCAGACAACTGTGTTGGGCCCTGGGGACCAGAGAAGAATTAACACACAGCCCAAGCCTTCCCCTGGTCTGAGCTTCCTCTTCCCACCTTCATATTCATGGCAGCTTCTTCTTGCTGGGAGTGGGATAGAGGAGCCCTAGGGCTGCTGGCTTCTGGAAGGAACTGGCTCCAGGGCACCCTGGCTATTCCCTTGCTCCATGCTGTGTGCAGGTGGCTCTGGCACCAAGAGGTGGCACCAAACCTGCTGCCAGCCTTGGCTTTCTCACCAGTCCTGCTCTGATGAGTTGACAGGCTGTGTTTGGAATTGAGCATGGCGGTATTACAAAGGCAAGTGGGTACCACACAACCTGCCCGCAGTGTTGCTTTGTTCTGATGAATTACACTGAGTCCCTGGATTCACATTTGGCTGGATTGTCAGGAAAAATATGTGTTCTGGGTGCCACCTGATCTTTTCATCTAGCTTCTGTCCTCAGGTAAACATTCCCTGTTAAAATTCTAAATGTTCATCTGCTTCCTCTAAAGAGATTGGTAAAAAGGCATAAAACACCTAAGAATCAGTGTTACTTGTAATGAGCCCAGGGCTGCCGCAGGGAGCACCATATACATAGAATACCAGGTGAGTGAGTGGGGCCCTCAGGGCTGAAGTATTATGCTCTAGGCCAGAAAAAGGATATTTTCTTTTTATTCCTGGGATACAGATAATGTATTTTCACATAACAGCCACATGTTTCATGAATTAAGCCAACAAATATTTACCAAGTATCCTTTAAATCCTTTAGTATTTAAAGTATCATTTTTTGCAAAAAAAAAAAAAATATGAGGGCCAACTTATTTTTGCCTGTCATGAAATCAAAGGCCAATTAAATAATCATTTCCAAATTTATATTTCTGTTTTATAGGTTTTCTTTATTCAAGGCATTCTTGTACAGTAAAGGGCAGGAAAAGGAGAGGGAGAGGGAAAGGGAGAAGAGGAAGAAGGAGGAAGGTGTGTGTGTTGGGAGTAGGGGGAAGCTTTGCAAATGGTAAACCTGGGTTATTATTTGACTTTTGGTTAAAAAAAAAAGTTGCATCAAATTAAGCAGTAAGCAATCATGAAGCAGGCAGTGACATGCATAGAGCAGATTTTCCTAAATCATCTTCCCCAGAACACCAATTCGCTAAGATGTTAATAAGCATTTTCCAAATAAAGATTTTCATTTTTCAGATAAATTCAGGACCGGCTGCATCTCCACTCCTGGTGAGTGACAATTCGTTTTAGCATGTTAAAGGCTCTGGAAAATGCTAGGGTAAAAGCAAAATGAAACACAAAACAAGAAGCTTGATTGACTTCCTTTAGCCTGGCACCCCCCAGATGCTGAACCTCTGTTATTGCAGTCGCTGAGGAACAGAGCCCATGGCACATGTGGAAAATCCTCTGCTGGATGAGGTGACTGTGGGATGGTCTCTGCTAGCTCCCTGCTAGGTCAGAGTGGAGCACTGGAGAAACACCAGACTCTTACCCAGGAGGGAAAAGGTCTGTTTCTCTGGCATCCTGCCTTTTGGTAGGGAGAAAAACTTCCAGTTTGAGTCTGAGGTGAAAATTGCTTTCCCCTTGCATCAAAGTCATAGAAACCCTGATGTGCCGTTATACCATTCAACATTCCCATCCCTGCAGTGCCTCAGGCTTTTGCAGTTTGCCCTCCTCATGCCCTTTCCTGGATCATGACCTTCTTTCAGCTGCCATTCCATTTTCACAGTCATTTCCATGCCCCATTTGGCTAACTCACCACTCCCTCAAAAGGAGATGCCCAGGTCAAAAAGCAGAGCTTTGCTCCATGTCCTTCCTGGAGCCTGGAGACTCCTGCTGAGTCCAGAGGGAGCAGCGAGCATGCCAGAGAAGGG
This sequence comes from Homo sapiens, assembly GCF_000001405.40. NCBI lineage: Eukaryota > Metazoa > Chordata > Mammalia > Primates > Hominidae > Homo > Homo sapiens. The sequence continues at coordinate 70,174 of NT_187559.1, read as the reverse complement.
CCCCTGCTAGGGACTGCTTCTGCTGTGAACATTTGGGTCCTGTTCCTGTTCTTTCCCACATCTCTCCCAGATGCTGCCGCAACCTTTACATGAATGCTCAGCCTCAGTTTCCTCCTGTCTCAAATGTCCTTATTTCAGGGTTGGGATAAAGAGTAAAAAAATATGTTTAGAGTGTTAAGCCTAGTACCTGCCTGCAATAGGTGCTCAACAAGTAGATGCTATTACTGATCATCACTATTCTTGCCTTATCTTCCCAAAGCACCTCCATACTGAGGATACAAATGAGGTCAGGTTAACAGGACCAATTTAAATCTCACTGCTTGGCCTCATTTGCACCTGCAGACCTTCACACCTTCTCCACCTGTAAGCTCCAGGACAGTATTTCTGGGACTCTCCGGAGGGTGTCTCATGGGTATGTAAGAATGAGCCCGCTTTCTGTGCCACGCAAGCCTGCTCATGGCTCACTTGTCACCAGAATGCCCGCCACCAGCTGTCACAGCTCCACGGGGTGCAGGAGTGAGGCCCTGGCTCCACCTGGCACAGCAACTCCATGTTGGTGGTTATGGCCTGTGTGCCACCCATCTGCTCTTCTGTCCTAAGAACAGACAGTGCTGTGGTCTCTGAGCAGCCAGCTTTTTGTGTTACTGGCTGTTGGACGGGGGCCAAGTAGGGCTCCTTGAGATCTCCCATGTTAGAATTTACTGACAGAGTTTTTCTTTTTGGAATTCTCACCTTTTTCCTCCTTAGGAAAGGAGCTGGGCTAGGGACGGGATGAGTCACTTCCTTCACAGGGAGCTTGGAGTCTCTGCTGTCTTCACCACTGAAGGCTTTGTTGTCAGGTCCAGCGTCTTGCTCTGGCACTACCTCATGTGGGAGGTGTTCTCCCCTGGTGGTCTATTCCGTTCCTTACAAGCAGTCAGCCCCCATAGTGGGCCCAGACTGAGTCCTTTTCCAGGAGGCTCTTCTGCCTGTGCAAAGGGGCCACTGCCAGGCCCAGCCCTCAGTGCGCTGGTCTCAGTCTCAGTGGCCCCACCATGGTGCTGGCCTATGGGAGCAAACTCTCCCGCATCTCCATCCTCCTCACAGCACTAGCCACTGTGGTGACCATGGGTCCTACCCGATCCTGCTGGTGACTCCCTGCCACCATTGCCAGGACACAGCTCTTTCTGGCCCAGAGTGACAATTCTGGCAAATTTAACTTGATATTGGCTATCCAAGGACAAGTATATGGTGAGCACTAAGCACCAGGCATTGTGTCTAGCTTCTGGCTCTCATAGATTTGCTAGGATTCCCCTGTAATGGCGGTGGTGGTGACAGGAGCTTACTCTACCCTGGGCAGGAGCCAGGCTGCAAACCCAAGTCTGGCTAAATCAAAAGTCCAGGCTTCCTAGAGACTCACTCTCTCTTTGTTCCTTACTGGAATCTTTGCTCTTATTGTCACACCTGTGCCACGCAAAGCCCCTCAGGAGCTAGGCTGATCATGACTGGACCCCGCACAGTCTGCCCAGCATGCTCCTCACCATTGCCTCTAAGCTGGCCAGGACCCTGGGGGGCTTTCCCCATGCACTACCCTGACACCTTTCTGGGGCACCATGGTAACTATCCACAGCCCCTCCTGGAGTGTGTCTCTTCATCCTGAGGTCTAAAGTCCTGATAATCTCCCCCAGTGAACCTGCGGTTTCTCTGAGGAGCCAGGTCCTCTGAGGACATGGGTCCCCTGGTGACTGCCTTGCCATTACTGGACCTTCTCAGTTGAGTGTGCAGACCACATCCCATGATCCCTAAGGAGCATTAGCCCAGAGGAAACACCTGATCAATCCCTGCCAATTTACGCTAAAAGCCACCATTTAAAAAAAAAAACAAAAACCCTCATCAGGATGACCTCCTATACCACAAAACCTTGCCCTCAGCAGAACTCTCTATAGGTCTCAAAGGTGACAGTATGAAGCACTGCTGGAAATTCCCACTCTCCTAGCGTCCTATTTATTGATCACATAGCTGCCTTCCGGGGGTAGAACCACTGGGAAATGTGTATGAACAGCACTCATCAACCATCACGTTTTTATTTGGCATTAGCTCCATGCCCAGTGAAGTGCCAGGTACAGACTGAGATTCATTTAAAAAATAGAAAGCATGGTCCTGTAAATAATTTGCAATTAACCAGGGAGATACACTTATACTGGAGAATTGAAGAACAGCTACAATTACGCACTGTAAGTAGGAAAGTTCTACAGCTTCCCTGGCTTCCTCCCACTCTCAGCCCTGCAAGCTCACCCAAGCCGAGCAGCCCACTGGCTGTACCTCAAACATGCCAAGCAACTCCTGCCTCAGGGGCTTCTCCTGGTTATTCCTGTGTCCGGGAAAAACCTTCTCCCAGACCTTCCCAATACTCCCTGCCTCTCTTCCATCCATTCTGTGCTTCAATTCCCCTTCGCAGAGAGGCCTCCCCGGTCACTGTCTCTAAAACAGTTCCTCCTCTTACTCACTCTTCTTACTTTGCTTTAGTGTTTCTTCATAGCCCTTGTCACTACCAAATATCCCACTTGTTATTTACTTGTTTTTTGTGTGTGTATTAACTACATATATATTTCAGTTGAAAGGTCTGTTCAAAACTTTGATCCTTTTTGAAATTTCCTTGTTTTTTATTGTTGCATTTTAGAGTTTTTGAGTTTATTCTGTTTTGTTTACTGTAGTATCTCCAGAGTCTGGAATAGCACCTGCCACAAAGGAAGCTATTTCCTGAGGAAATGAGGGAATAAATGAAGGGATGGATAAATGAATGAATGAATGAGACAGACTATGCCTCGTGGTAGGATTTATATAAAATGAGAATAATATAAAAATAATGCAATTTTATATTTGCATATCACTCATTCCATATATGTGATTGTGAGATGTATCCCATCTGTGTGGTGTGTGTCTGTGGGTATGTATGTGTGAGTGGTGAGTTTGTGCATGCTGTTTATGTGGATCTAGCCAATTGACCACTGTGCAGGAGGAAGAACTCAGACCTTGGAGTCAGAGGAATCTGGCTTCACATCCCTGCTCGGTCACTTGTTAACTATATGACAGTAAGTATGTTTCTCAACTTTTCCAAACCTGGGTTTATTCACGTTAACATGGGGATAAAAGTACCTCTTTCATAGATTTGTTATGGGGGTGAAATGAGACAACATACAACGTAATTCAAACACCCTACAAATGAGAAATGCTTAGAAAAAACTGTTTTTTATATGTATGCTTTTCTTTTGATTTCCTAATTTTTAATTTACATAAGGTAATATTCACTGATTTTAGTGTATAGTTGTATGATTTTGGATCCCAATCAAGTTTTGTTTTTTTTTTTTTTGGAGACGGGGTCTTGATTTGTCGCCCAGGCTGGAGTGCAGTGGCACAATCTCGGCTCAAGGAGGACGCTACATAAGGGAGGGTTAGCTGCATTGGAAGGGTCTTCCACATCCCAGATTTCAAGCATGCTGCAACCAGGCCTGAAAAAAGACAGACATATATATCCATATTAGAAATGTATTCCTGTCTAGAGAAAATAGATACATAACACAACATCTAGATTTTCAGAGACAAATTTATTTCATAAGTTAAATATTTTAAAGCGTCATTTCAAAAAACAATTTCAATGTTTAGAAATTTAAAAAATAGAATGAAATTAAGCACGTTGCATTTTCGCATCTCATTTGACCAAATGAAAGACATATCCTAATAATAAAGCTTCAATATACATTCATAAATATATATGTAAAAGCACACTTTCAAGATGAAACAAACATAAATATAATTTCCAAGTGCCATCACCATCTAAACATAAGGCCCATTTGTAGTAAAATAAGACAAATTAAAACCTAATCGAATTCCTGATGAATTTCACATTTTTTAGCATAAACTGCCTTGGATTAGCATGAAATGATCCAAGGCAGGGACAGGAGACTCTTACGGCAATTTGTTTTCTTCAATGCTTTCCCATTTTGGGTGGCTCTATGACTGGGCTAAATGAGACACTATTCCTCCCTAGAGAGTAATCCTGCATGGCAGTCATTAAAGGGAAGGAGTCAGACAAAATTGATTTCTAATTTTTTAACATCTATATTGAAGTATAAGTTATACACAATAAAACTTCACCTATTTTATGTGTAAAGTTTGCCAGGTATGGGCAAATGTGTATACATGTGTAAGCACTACCACAATCATAATACAGAAAATTTCCATCACCCCCACAAGTTCCCTGTGCCCTTTTGCAATCTACCATCTTCCCCAAACATGGCCTCAGGCAACTACTGTGCTTTCTGCATTACAGTTTTGCTTTTTCTAGAATTTCATATAAATATATTATGTAGTCTTTTCATTTTTGGCTTCTTTACCATAGCATGTTTTTGATATTCATATCTGAGCTGTAGTTCCTACAACTTCTGTTGTGGTTCAGTAGTTCCTTCCCTTTTGTTGCTAAATAATATTTCATTGTATATAGAGAACACAATTTGTTTATCCATTTGCAAGTTAATGAACATTTGAGATGTTTTGAGTTTTTGGTGACCATGAACAATGCCACTATAAACATTCACGGACAAGGCTTTTTGTGGACATATGTTATCATTTCTCTTAGGGAAACACCTAGGAGTGGAATTGCTGGGTTGCATGGTTATGTATGATTAAGTGTGGATTTATCTTTATAAGCAAGTTCAAAACTGTTTTCCAGAGTAGATGCACCATTTTCCATTTCCACCAACAATGCATGAGAGTTTAAGTTGTATCAGTTTTTGTAATTTTAATCGTTATAGTATGGTTATGGATGATTCAAAATATCTTCTTTGGTGAAATTTCTATTCAAATATTTTGCCAAATTTTGTGTTGGTTCTTATTGAGGTGTGAGAGTTCTTTGTATATTCTGGGTAAAAGTCTGCCAGATTTTTTTAGCAGATGTATTAAGGCATAATTGCTCAATAATTACTCAATAAGCTGCACATATTTAGTATCCACTTGGATACATATTAACATAGGTATACACTTGTAAAACAGCAGCCACAATAAAAATCATGAACATATCCATCTCTCCCAAAAGTTTACTTCTGCCCTTTTGTAATCCTAATTATTGCATGCTTTCTTTTTTGTCTGGCTTCTTGTCCTCAGTAGAATTATTTTGAGATCCATCCATATTGCTGTATCAATAGTTCGTTCATTTTTATTAGTGAGTAATATTTACATTGTTTGGATATTCTAATAGTGTGTTTATACATTCATCTGCTGATAAATAAGTGGATTGTTTCCAGTTTGGGGCTAATACAGAAAATAAAGTGCTATGAACATTTGTGTACAATTCCTGGGATGGATATGTGCTTTCTTTTATTTTAATAAATACAGTAGTTGTATGTTTAACTTTTTATAAAATTGCTAAACTGTCTTGCAGAGTGGTTGTACCATATTACTTTTGCACCACTGGTGTATGAGAGTTCTAAGTCCTCCATAGTGTCAGCAACAGTTGGCAGTTCTTTTTTCAGTTATAGCTATTTTATTAAGTGTTTAGTTACATCTCACTGTAATTTTCATTTGCATTTCACAAATCACTAGTAACATCAAGCATCTTTTTGTGTGATTATTTGCCATCTGTCCCTTTGTCCCTTTTTTTTTCTTTTCTTTTTTTTTTTTCTGAGACAAGGTCTTGCTCTGTCGCCCAGTGGAGTGCAACAGCACAATCTCGGCTCACTGCAACCTCCGTCTCCTGGGTTCAAGTAATTATCCTGCTTCAGCCTCCCGAGTAGCTGGGATTATATGCGCCCACCATCACGCCTGGCTTTTTGTATTTTTAGTAGAGATGGGGTTTAGTCATGTTGGCCAGGCTGATCTCGAACTCCTGACCTCAGGTGATCCACCCGCCTCAGCCTCCCAAAATCCTGGGATTACAGGCGTGAGCCAACCACTGCGCCCGGCCTGTTTTGTCCATTTTTAATTGGGTTGTTTTCTTATTATTGGGTTTTGAGAGTTTTTTATACATCTAGAAAAAGTCCTTTATCAGACATAGGCTTTGAAAATATTTTCTCCCAGACTGTGGTTTATCTTTTAATTCTTCCTAATACTGTTTATAAAAAAGCAGAGGTTTACAGTTTTAATGAAGTCCTATTTATCAATGTGTTCTCTTGTGGATCATGATTATGTTACTGTATCTGAGAAATCTTAGCCTAATCCAAGGTTACAATAATTTTCTTCCATATTTTCTTCTAGAAATTTTATATTCTTAGATTCTTAGTAGCAAGTTACCTTCTACTCCTAGTTTGCTGAGGGTTTTTAATCAGTTATGGATACTGAATTGTGTCAAATACTTTTTCCTGAATGTACTCAGAGGATGATGCGTGATGATGCGGTCTTTCTTTCTCAGTTTGTTACTATGGTGAATTCACTTGATTGGTTTTCAAATAGTGAGACAACTTTGCATTCCTGGGATAAACTCCACTTGCACATTATGTATTGTCTTTCTTTAATATATTGCTGGATTCATTTGTTGCAATTTTACTTAAAAACTTCACACATGTGTTCATGATAAATTTTGATTGGTTGTTTCCTTTTATTGTAATGTTTCTCTCATGTTGGTATCAGGATAATGCTGACCTCACAGAACCAGTTGGGAAGTAATCCCTCCTTTTGAATTTTCTGGAATAGTTTGTAGAATTGGAATTATTTCCAGTGAAGATATCTGTCTTAAAGTTTTCTTTGTGACAATTCTTTTTACTACAAATATAATTTTATTAATAGATACAAGGTCATTCATAATAAGGTAATAGATATAAGATTTTCTATTTCTTAAGTGAGCTTTGATTTTGCATCTTTCAAGGAACTTGTCCATTTTATCTATTTTGTCCTACTTAGTGGAATAAAGTTGTTCCTAAAACTCCCTCATTATCCTTTTCATTTCTTCAGATCCTGTAGTGATAAAATCTTTCTTATTCCTGATACTAGTAATTTCTGTCTTCAATCTTTTAGTTTGGGTAGGAATTTATCAATTTTATTAATCTTCTCAAGAATCAGTGTTTGGTTTTACTGACTTTTCCCTGTTTGGGGAGGAAATACACACTGATTTTGATTCTAATCTTTATGCTTTCTTTTTCTTCTCCTTACTTTGGAGTTTACTTATTCTTTTATTTTTCTAGTTCCTTAAGGTGAAGCTGAGTGACTGATATGAGGCCTTTCTTCTTTTTCTATTATGGGCATTCAACATAAAAACAAATCTCTCTACTGCTGTATCTGCATCCCACAAACAGCGGGATGGTGTTCTCATTTTCCCTTAGGTCAACATACGTTGAAACTAACCCTCCTTTTGTTTCTTCTTGACCATGGATTATCTGGAAGTGTACTACTTAGTTTCTAAACATTTGAGGGAATTTCCGTATAGAATTCTGTTACTGATTTCTAATTTAATTTCATTGTAGTCAGAGATTGTACTTTACATGATCTAAAGTATTTTAAATGTGTCAATACTTGCTTTGTGGCCTAGAAAATAGTCTTTTTTGATAAATAGTCTGCGTGTGCTTGAATGTCTATTTTGCTGTTCTAGGGTGGTGTGTACTATAAATGTCAATTAGGTCATATTGGTTGATGGCGTCATTCAAGTCTTCCATATTCTTGCCAAATTTCTTTTTATTTGTTCTACAAATTATTTAGACAAGGCTATTAAAATTTCTAACTATACTGTAGATTTGTCTATTTTTTCCTAAAGTTCTATCAGTTGTGTTTCATATTTTTGAAGCTCTGTTATCTAAGTGCATAAATGTTCAGGGTTGCCACATCCTCTTGAAATATAGATCCCTTCTTCATTTAAAAATCCTTGTTTAACCTTGATAATATTCTTAGCATTCAAATGTACTGTGATGTTATTACAGTCACACCAGCTTTCACTGACAAGTAGTAGCATCACATGTCCTTTTCCTATCTGTTAACTTTTAACCTCTTCGTTTCTTTATATTTAAGTAAATTTCTTGAAAGCAGCCTATAGTAGGGTCTTGCTTTGCTATGCAATCTGACAATTCTTGCTTTTCATTTGTGGTGTTTAGAGCTATATTCGTTTCCTATTGCTGCTATAACAAATTACCACAAACAGTTGCTTAAAGCAACATATATTTATTCTCTTTCAAATTTTGGAGCTCATAAGTCTAAAATCACAGTATTGGCAGGACTCCAATCCTTCAGGAGGCTCTAGAAGAAAATCCACTTCCTTGCCTTTTCCAGCCCTAGAAGCTGGCCTCCTTCCTTGGCTTGTGGCCTTATATCACTCGAACTTCTGCTTCTACCATCACATCGCCTTTTTGATCTCTTACTCGTTTGCCTCCTCCTTATAAAGACTTTGTGATTACATTTGCCCTACCTGGATAATAAGGATAATCTCCACATCTCATGAGCATTAATTTAATCACATTTGCAAATTTCCTTTTTCCATGTGAGTAACGTAATTCACAATTTCTGGGAATTAGGACATGGCCATCGTGGGGGGCTCATTATTCAGCCTACCACAAGTCCATTTACACTTAATGTGATAATTAATATGGTTAGATTTAAGTCTGTCATCTCAGCGTTTTCTCTTTGTTCCATCTGATCGTCATCTCCCTTTTCCGCTTCTTCTGCCTTATTTTGGATTGAGTGATTTTTATAATTCCATTTTAATCTTGTTTGTTGCCTTTTGGGTTCTGTCAATTTTTGCTTCATTTATTTTGAAATTCTCTTTTAAGTTCATATGCACTCAAATTATTGTATCTTTCTCCTGTACTGAACTATTTTGCATTATAAAACATAGTTGTTTCTAGTAATATTCTTTGTCTTAACATCTATCTTCTCTGATATTTATACATTTTTCACTTCAGCTTTTCTAATGTTTACTCACATGATATCTTTTCCATTCTTTTTCCTTCAGCCAATATACATATCTATATTTAAAATGCACCTCTTGCAGGCAGTCCATAGATAGGTTTTGCTCTTGTATTCAGTTTGCCAATCTCCACCTTTTGTTAGGAAGAATTTAGTCCTCTTTCACTTTGAAATTACTGATATGGTTTGATATAGGCTTGCTATAGTGCTCTTTTGTTTTTTTAAAAAAACTTTTTATTTCAAGACATTTGGAGATCCACATTAAGTGAGAGATAATACAAGTAGCTCTTGTACAGTCTTTAGACAGTGTCCTCTGCCATGGTAACATCTTGAACATTTGTATAATATCACAGCCAGATAATTCACATTGATAGAATGGTGATAGAGAGCATTTCCATCACCATAGAGATCCCTTGTATAGCCACACATACTATACTTCCCCCACATTCCCACCCCACCCTAACCCCTTGCAACCACAAATCATCCATATCTATAATTTTGTCATTTGAAGACAGTTATACAAATGGAATCATACAGTAGGTAACCTTTGGGGATTGTCTTTTCTTCATTCAAACAATTCTCTGGAGATTCATCCAGGATCTTGAGTGTATCAATAGTTTGATCCTATTGCTGAGCAGTATTCCATGGTATGAATAGATCACTATTATTTAATCATTCACCTTGCAAAAAACATCTTGGTTGTTTCAGGTTTAGGCTATTACAAATAAAGCTGCTATAGACATTTTTCTACAGAATTTTGTGTGAACACAACTTTCCACCTTTCTGGGAAAAAATGCCCAATACAATTGCTGGGTCTTAAGTTAGTTATATGTTTAGTTTTTTTCCCCTTTTAGTTTCAGTTGACAAGTAATACTTGTACATATTTATGAAGTATAGAGTGATATTTCAATGCATAATTACAATGTGTAATGATCAAATCAGGGTAATTAGGATATCCATCACCACAAACGTTTACCATCTGTTTGTGCTGGGAACATTCAAAATCCTCTGTTCTGGCTTTCTTGACATATAACGATAAATTACTGTTAACTAATATTCACTCTACAGTGCCAGAGAGCACTGTAACTTATTCCTTCTATTTATCTGTAGTTTTTTATCTCTTAACCAACCTCTCCTTATCTTCTTCTCCTCCCTACCCTTCCCACTCAGCCTCTAATTACCACAATTCTACTCTACTTCTATGAGCTACTTCTTTGAGCTTCCACATGAGTGACAACATGCACTATTCATCTTTCTGTGTCTGACTTATTTCACTTAATGTATCCAGGCTCATCCATATCTAGGCTTGCCATTATGCTCTTTTTTTCCCCACTGTTTTATTTATTTTTTGAGTGGTTTTGATAGGGATGACAACAAGCATCTTTAACATATCATGATTTACTTACCATTTAAATTGGGTTATTTCTAGTAAATCGTACATTTCCACGGTTTACTCAATTTTTGTGCTATTGTCATGTATATTTAATTTCTGTCATAAACTAAAAAATATAATGGTATCACTTTTGCCTTAAATAATGTCTTTTAAAGATTTTCAGAGAAGAAAAACGTATAGTGATTAATATCCACATATTTACCTTTTCCAGCGCATTTCAGTATTTCTTGTATATCTGAGTTACCATCTGGCATCATTTCTCATCAGCTGATAGAACTTCTTGTCCATCTTGAAGTATAAATCTGTTACCAACAAATTATCTTAGATTTTGTTGATCTGAAAAATGTATTTTTGGCCTCCATTTTAAAAAGATAGTTTCATTAAATATAGAATTCTTGATTTTTCATCTTCAGCACTTTGAATTATCATTCCAGTGTCGGATAATTTCCACTATTTATGTTGGGAAGTCAGATGTTTATATAGCATATCTTTTTTTCTCTTATTTTCAAGATTTTTCTCTTAATCTTTGATTTTACCGTTTTGACTGTAATGTTCCTTGCTTTGGTTTTCTTTGGGCTTCACCCAGTTGGATTTGTTGAGCTTAGCGGATCTCTAAGTTAGTAGCTTTTATCAAACTTGAGAAATTTTCGGCCAACATTTCTTCAATATTTTTTCGGTCATGTTCTTTTTTTCATTACATCTAATACTAAAATTATGCATGTGTTGAACTACTTAATGTTACATAGGTCTGTGACTTTGGTTATTTTTCAATCTTTTTGGCTCCTGTTCTTTTGATTAACTATCCTCTCTTCATCTATCTTCAAATTCACTGCATTTTCTGTTCAAATGTTCTGTTTTCATCTCAAAATTGTTGTTGAGTACATTTAAATGATTTTCATTTTATTTATTATACTTTTCAGCTCTAGAATTTCCATGGGGGCTGGAGTGTTTCTATTTCTCTGCTGAGATTCCATAGCTCTTCACTCATGGATACCATGTTTTCTTTTAATTCATTGAATACATTTTTCTTAAGCCTTTGAATGTATTTGTAATAGTGGCTTTGCAGTCTTTGGCTGCTAAATCCAACATCTGGACCTACTTGAATCGGTTTCTATTAACTTATTTTTTTCAGAGTATTGGTCATACTTTCTCATTTTAGTTTGAATCTCTGAAACTTTTTGCACATTTTAAATGATATTTTGAAGTGACCGTAGAACCTGTTTTGTTCTTCTGATTGCCAATGTGTCATTCTAGGAGACAATTAATGTGCCTGAATTTCCTGTCATGTGCAGCAGCTAATATCTGTGCTTAGGAGCCTAAACAAAGGACTCATAAGATCAATTACACATCTTAGAATTTTATGATTTTTAGAGATTCAAAATTCAGAAATTAAAAAATTTTAATTAGGAATGTTTTCCTTAGGTCATTTTGGGTTTTGTCACTTTTCTTTTAAGTCTTACAAATCCAATATAATTCAGCTATAATACAGAATGCCAATATCTCACTTTGTTGTAAATTCAAATCCATATTACAGATATCTAATAAAAATTTTCATAAATATTTCAAAAATTATGAAAAAAGCTAAGTGGAAGATGTTAAATTGAAAAATCAGGATATTAAATATACTATAATGTTTGGAATTAAATTCTACTTCATTGATAATATAGTTTTATGTCTCTAGATGAAATAATTTAAACTAAGGTACCAGGATAATATTTTAATAAATTTAAAATAAAAATTCTTAAAGAATCAGGACTACTGTAATAAAGTGAAACATTTGTTGCTCAAAAATATACCATATCAGATAGCATAGGTTTAATACTCACTTAGTTCTCACAACACACCATGCCTCTTCTAAAACATAATAATTCACATGTAACTCCAACAATTTATCTCTTACTTCTTTGGCAGATTTTCCACTATATGTAGAATAAACTATTTTTGTCCAAGCCCTTTAAATTTAAACAATATTTTAAAAGATTTTAAAATAAATGATAATAGAATAGACTAAAAAAATCTTACTAGCAAATTGAAATCTCAATACTCACTGGATGGAACACTGATATACATGACTCAAAACAGCATCAATTATTTTGGGGATGGCAGTTTCCACATTCCTACTTATATTTTGAATGTAATAAAACTTACAGCAATTTAATTTTGCATATACTGCTCATTACTGTATAAGATAGTGTAAAGTTGTACTGGGTAGCAGAGAGCAGCTTAGGATATACAATTTTCTTCTCATAATTCACACAGTTTTCAGAGACTATATTCTGACAGAGACTGAATGTAGTGAAAACACATCTTTCAATGCTTAATTTCATCTAAAGAAGCTCTGACAAATACATGAATTGAAATTTAGTGTATCAAGTAGAACACTTAGACAATGGGCATCCAGGGTGTCAGAAGAGGTAGGAAAAGCACCTTCACAGAGTCTTGAGAAATGGGGATGGTCACCAAAATATGGTACAATAGGTGATTTGACCATAGTGGGAGTTCTTACAAAATCCTAACAAACTATCACTTATGCATTGGATGTTGCTTAGAATTTCAAGCATATGGAATGCTCAGTCACCACAGTGGTTTCCATGCCAGTTCACCGCAGTAGAACAGAGAGAGCATCAGGTACATTTCTAAGGTGTCTGACTCCAAGCCCTGGCTCCTAGACAGCAGACCTAAAACTTTTAAATAATTTAAACATTTGCCTCTAACAATAGGCCAAAAATCCACTTTTAAAAACGATTACCCTGACAACTACTAGAATAACCAAAATAATTTTTTAAACCAGCCATTTAAGGTAAGCAAAACTTTTAGACATCAATGGAAACTAGAGTTCTCATAATCGACTAGCAAAAATACTCTAAATTTTCATGAAAGCACGTAATATATAATAGCAAATTTCATGTATTTTTTCTACCTGTCACAAAAAGCTAGTCATTGGCCACCAGTAAGATCTAGAAATCATTTCTTAAATCAGAGTGGGGCTTCTGGTGTAGAGCAGGGGTTGGCAAACCATGGCTGTGAGTAAAATCCGTCCTACCTACTCTTCCAACTACCTAGTAGTTTTACTGGAATACACACACACATCATTTCTGGATGGTTATTGTCACTTTTTTTAACTTCCAGTATGAAAATGAGGATGAGTTTGTGTGTGTGTGTGTGTGTGTGTGTGTGTGTGTGTGTGTGTAAAAATTTTCCCAGTTCCTAAGAATTGGGAGTCGCCAAGTGAGTCTTGAAGAAATACTTATCAGCTGCCAACCTCAAGTCTGCATCTTCGTAATGTGGATGATTCACAATGGGATGAAGTGTAGACAGCTTGACACTTGCCATTGTAGGCATGGCACCTGCAAAGACAGCATCTGAAAAAAAAAAAAAGGATATATTCTTCAATTAAATGTTTCAAAGAAAATCAGAAGTTAAACTTACCTCTAATATGTGAACCCAAATTAAGAAGGATGATGCCTATTTACATGATCATGGACCTCATTCTTTTTATTAACTCAATAGTTATTCATTATCTACTATAATAATAGCTGACTTTTGTTAAATGCTATCTGGGTGCTAGAAATTGTGCTCCATATTTTAACAAGAAATCACTTAATTTTCACAATTCTAAGGGGTAGGTCCTCTGTTCTTACTTTGTAAAATCTACAAACTGAGCATGTGAGGGGTCTGAGTTATGCACTCATTAGAATCTAATGCCTGATGGTCTGAGGTGGAACAATTTCATCCAGAAACCACCCCCTACCCCCCAGTTCTGTGGAAAAAAATGGTCTTCCACGAAACTAGTCCCTGGTGCCAAAAAGGTTGCAGACTGCTGTTGTAGATGATGAAGAGACACAGCCAAGTTAAGTGACTTGTCCAAGACTGCACAGCTAGGAAGTTCCAGAGCCTGCCCTCTTAGCTGCTTCACTAAAGCTTCCTGCTATGCTAGAGCACCATGCTAACAGCAGGACTACAGACACACATGAAACAAAAAGAATGTAAAATGTCACATCTGTTCCAATAATGTGAAATGCCAGGAACTGAGAGACTGCTATGAAGGGCAAGTCTCATGGGACATTTTTTCAAATGACTTTTGTGGCTGGTGAACTGTGGTCCTGTGGATGTGCCATAAAAAAGGAAAGCATTGTTTTCTTCCCTCAGATCATCTTTCAGTTCTCAGAGTTACCATTTGACTTGACACCATTTATACATGCCATGAAATCATTTCATTACTTGCTAGTAGTACTTTTTGGAGTAATAACATGTATAAATTTGGTCATAAATAGAGATACATCAAAATCTATCTGGCTTCCATTTCATCTCTTGAAATACCAGAAGACCAAATGCTTACTTCCTGGTACTTTTGTATAAAAAACAATTACATAATTGTGAAGGTTACTATCATTTTTAATCAGCACAATAAAATCAGTAATAAAGATAAGACATATTATTCAGATCTACTATAAAAAACTATGTTGGAGAGGAGGTGGAGCATGATGACCAAGTAGAAGCCTCCACTGTTCATCCTCCCCTCAGGAACACCAAATTTGATAACGATCTACACAAAAAGCACTTTCATAAGAACCAAAAATCAGCTTAGGTACCAGCTTGGCCTCAGTGGGGAGCAGCACCAAGCAGGCTCTTGTGGTCCCCGATTCCAGGCCTTGGCTCTTGGGTGGCATTTCTGGACCTGCCCTGGGCTGGAAGAGAGCCCACTGCCCTGAAGGGTGAGTTCCAGGCCTGGCAGCACTCACCACAAGCTGACTGAAAGGTCCTTCAGCCTTAAGTGAATGTTGGCGGTAGCCAGGCATTACCTCCCACGGGCCTGTGGTAGTGGTGGAAATGAGGAGAGACCACTCTGCCTGGGGAAAGGGGAAGGAAGGGTGGGAAGGACTTTGTCTGGTGGTTTCAGCACCAGCTCAGCTGCAGTAGAGTAGAGCATCAGGTAGATTTCTAAGGTGTCTGACTCCAGGCCCTGGCTCCTGGACAGCAGCATCTCTGGACCTGACTATGACCTGGGGGATCTTGCCACCCTGAAGGGAAGGTCACCAGCCTGGTTTGCTTTGCCACCTGCTGACTGTTGAGCCCTACACCTTGAGCAAACTTAGGTGGTGGCCAGGCAGTAGTTACAATGAGCTTTGGGTAAGACCCAGTGCTGTGCTAGCTTCAGGTCTGACCCAACACATTCCCAGTAGTGGTGGCCACAGAGATGCTTATATCACCCCACCCCCAGCTCCAGGTAGCTTAGCACAGAGAAAGAGAGAGAGAGAGACTCCATATGGGAGAGAGTAAGGGAAGAGAACAAGAGCTTCTGCCTGCTAATCCTGAGAATTCTGGATTTTATCCAAGACCACCAAGGTAGTACCTCTAAGAGTCTGCAATAGCTTCAGCATTACTGGGCATGGGGTGCCTCCTAGTGCAGATACAGCCGCCGCGACCAGAAACTTAGATCACAACACCAAAGTCCCTTTGAATACCTGGAAAGCCTTTCCAACAAGGATGGGTACAAACAAGCCCAGACTGCAAAAACTATAATAAATACCAAACTCTTCAATGCCCAGACACCGACAAACATCCACAAGCATCAAAACCATGCAGGAAAACATGACCTCACCAAACAAACTAAATAAGGCACTAGGGGGCCAATCCTGGAGAGACAGAGATATGTGGCCTTTCAGACAGAGAATTCAAAATAGCTGTGCTGAGGAAAGTCAACGAAATTCGAGGTAACACAGAGAAGGAATTAGTAATCTTATCAGATAAAGTTAACAAATAAATCAAAATAATTAAAAAGCAGAAATTCTGGAGCTGAAAAATGCAACTGACATGCTGAAGAATGTATCAGTCTCTTAATAGCAGAACTGATCAAGCAGAAGAAAGAATTAGTGAGCTTAAATTAAAGACAGGCTGCTTGAAAATACACAGAGGAGGTGAAAAAAGAATAAAAAAGAATGAAGCATACTTTCAAGATCTAGAAGTAGCCTTTAAAGGGAAAAATCTAAGAGTTATTGGCCTTAAAGAGGAGGTAGAGACAGCAGTAGGAAGTTTATTCAAAAGTACAACAGAACTTCTCAAAGTTAGAGAAAATATCAATATTCAAGCACAAGAAGGTTATAGAACATCAAGCAGATTTAACCCAAAGACTAACTCAAGTCATTTAATATCAAACTCCCAAAGATCAAGGATAAAGAAAGGATCCTAAAGGCAGCAAGAGAAAAGAAACAAATAACATACAATGGAGATCTAATAGATCTGGCAGCAGACTTTTCAGTGGAAACCTTACAGGCCAGGAAAGCATGCCATGACATATTTAAAGTGAAGGAAAAAACCTTTTACCTGAGAGTAGTGTATCCAGAGAAAATGTGCTTCAAACCTAAAGGAGAAGACTTCCCAGTGAAACAAAAGCTGTGAAATTTCATTCACACCAGACCTATCCTATAAGAAATGCTAAAGGGAGTTCTTCAATCTGAAAGAAAAGGACCTTAATGAGGAAGAAATAATCGGAAGGTACAAAACTCACTGGTAATAGTGAGTACACAGAGAAACACAATATTATAGCAGTGTCATTATGGTATATAAACTACTTATATGATAAGTAGAAAGACAAAAAGATGAACCAATAAAAAATAACTACAACAACTTTTCAAGAGACAGTACAATAAGATATAAATAGAAACAAGAAAAAGGTAAAAAGTCGGGAGATGAAGTTAAAGTTTAGAATTTTTACTAGCTTTCTTTTGGCTCATTTGTTTATGCAATCAGTGTTGTCATCAGTTTAAAATAATGGGTTATAAGATATTATTTGCAAGCCTCATGGCAACCTCAGGTTTAAAACCATACAATTGATGTACAAAAAATAAAAAGCAATAAATTAAAACACACCACCAGAGAAAATCGCCTTCAATGAAAGAAAAAGAGGAAGGAAGAGAAGACCACAAAACAATGAGAAAACAAATAACGAAATGGCAGGGGCAAGTCCTTAACAATAATAACTCTGAAGGTAAATGGGCTGAACTCTCCAATCAAAAGACAAAGAGTAGCTGAATAATAAAACAAAACACTAAGAATCTGTTACCTACAAGAAACACACTTTACTTATAAAGGCAAATATAGACTGAAAACAAAGGGATGGAAAATTATATTCCATGCCGATGGAAACCATAAAAGAGCAGGAATAGCCATACTTGTATCAGACACAATAGATTACAAGACAAAAACTATAAAAAGAGACAAAGAAGGTCATTATATAATGATAAAGGGGTTCATTCAGCAAGAGTATATAACAATTGTAAATATATATACACCCAATACTGGAGCACCCGGATACATAAAGCAAATATTATCAGAGCAAAAGAGAGAGACAGATCCCAATACAATAATAGCCTGAGACTTCAACACCACACCTTCAGCAGTGGACAGGTCATCTAGACAGAAAATCAACAAAGAAACACTGAACTTAATCTGCACTATAGATCAAAAGGACCTAACAGATACTTACAGAACATTTCATCCAACATCTACAGAATACACATCCTTCTCCTCAGCACATGGCTCATTCCTCAAGGATAGACCACAAAACAAGGATAGGCCACAAAACAAGCCTTAAAACATTTTTTAAAAATTGAAACAACATAATGTATCTTCTCTGACCACAATGGAAAAAAAACTAGAAATCAGTAGCAAAAGGAATTTTGGAAACTCTACAAACATAGAAATTCAAGAATATGCTCCTGAATGACCGGTGGGTTAATAAAGAAATTAAGAAGGAAATTGAAAATGTTCTTGAAACAAATGATAATGAAAACACAACACATCAAAACCTATGGGATACAGCGAAAGCAGTATTAAGAGGGAAGTCTGTAGCTGTAAGTGCCCACATCAAAAAAGAAGAAAAACCTCAAATTAACAACTCAATGATGCATCTTAAAAAACTAGAAAAGGGCAAACAAAACCCAAAGTTAGTAAGAGAAATGAAATAATAAAGATCAGAGCAGAAATAAATGAAATTGCAATGAAGAAAACAGTATAAAAGATCAACTGGTTTTCTGAAAAGATAAAATTAACAAACCTTTAGCCAGACTAAGAAAAAAAGACAGAAGGCCCAAATAAATAAAATCAGAGATAATAAAAGGAGACATTATAACCAATATTGCAGAAATTAAAGGATCATCAGAGACTACCATGAGCAACTGTATGCCGATAAATTGGAAAACCTAGAAATGGATAAATCCCTAGATACATAAAACCTACCAAGATTGAACTATATAGAAATCCAAAACCTGAACAGAACAATCACAGGTAATGAGATCAAATCTCTAATGAAAAGTCTCTCAGCAAAGAAAAGCCCAGGACCTGATGGCTTCACTGCTGAATTTTATCAAACATTTAAAGAAGAACTAATATCAATCCTACTCTAACGATTCCAGGAAATAGAGGAGGAAGGAATACTTCCAAACCCATTGTATGAGACCAATATCACTTTAATACCAAAACCATACAAAGACCCATCAAAAAAAACTACGGGCTAAAATCTCTGATTAATGTTAATGTAAAAATCCTCAACAAAATACTAGCAAACTGAATTCAATAACACATTAAAAAGATTATTCATCATGACCAAATAGGATTTATCTCAGGGACGCAAAGATGGTTCAACATAGCAAATCAATGTCATATCAACACAAGAGGAAAAATCATATGATCATCTCATCTCCATAGATGCAGGAAAATCATTTGGTAAAATTCAACATACCTTCATGATAAAAACCTTCAAATAAACTGGGTATAGAAGGAACATTAATCAACATAAAGAAGCTATATACAGCAAATGCACAAGTAGTATCATAGTATCATACTGAGTGAGGAAACACTGAAAGCCTTTCTTCTAAGATCTGGGACATGACAAGGATGCTCACTTTTTACCACATTATTCAACATAGTACTGGAAATCCTAACTAGAGCAATCAGACAAGAGAAAGAAATAAAGGGCATCCAAATTTGAAAGGAAGAGGCCAAATTATCATTGTTCACAGATGATATGATCTTATATTTAGAAAAACCTAAAGTCTCCACAAAAAAAAAAAAACTATTAGAACTGATAAATTCAGTAATGTTGTAGGATACAAAATCATACAAAAATCATTAATGTTTCTATATGCCAACAGAGAATAACCTGAGAAAGAAAATTTAAAAAGTAATTCCATTTACAGTAGCCACATATAAAATTAAATACCTAGAAATTAACCAAAGAAATGAAAGATCTCTAGAATGAAAGCTATACAAAACTGGAGAAAGAAATTGAAGAAGATACAAAAAATGGAAAGCTATTCCATGTTCAAGCATTGGAAGAATCAATATTGTTAAAATGTCCATACTATTCAAAGCAATCTACAGATTCAATGCAATCCCCATCAAACTACTAATGATATTCCTCACAGAAATAGAAAAAATGATCCTTATGTATTCGAAAACACAAAAGACCTAGAATAGCCAAAGCTACCCTGAGCAAGAAGAACATAACTGAAGGAATCACAATACCTGACTTCAAATTATACTACAGAAGTATAGTAACCAAAACATCATGGTACTGCCATAAAAACAGACACACAGACCAGTGGAACAGAATGGAGAACCCAGAAAGAAATCCATACATCTACAGTAAACTCATTTTTTACAGCAGTCCCAAAAACATACACTGGGGAAAGGGCAATCTCTTCAAAAAATGGTGCTGGGAAAACTGAATATCCATATGCAGAAGAATGAATCTACACCCCTATCTCTTGCCATATACAAAACTCAAATCCAAATGGATTAAAGCCTTAAATCTAAGACCTCAAACTCTGAAATTACTACAAGAAAACTTTGGGGAAACTCTCCAGGACTTTGGTTTGGACAAAGATTTCTTGAGTAAATACCTGGGAAGCACAGGCAACCAAAGCAAAAATGAACAAATGGGATGACATCAAGTGTAAAAGCTTCTGCAAAGCAAAGGAAACAATCAGCAAAGTGAAGAAACAACCCAAAGAATAAGCGAAAATATTTGCAAACTACCAATCTGACAAGGAATTAATAACCAGAATATATAAGGAGCTCAAACAACTCTGTAGGAAAAGAAAATCTAAAAATCTACTTTAAAAATGGGCAAAAGATCTGAATAGCCATTTCTCGAAAGAAAACATACAAGTGGCAAACAGGTACATGAAAAGGTGCTCAACATCACTGATCATCAGAGAAATGCAAATCAAAACTACAGTGAAATAGCATCTCACTCCAGTTAAAATGGCTATTACTCAAAAGGCAGGCAATAACAAATGGCTGTTATCCAAAAGACAGGAAAAGATGTGGAGAAAAGGGAACTCTCATACACTTTTGGTGAAAATGTAAATTAGTACAACCACTATGTAAAAGAGTTTGGAGGTTCCTCAAAAAACTAAAAATAGAGTTACCACATGATCCAGCAATCCTACTCTTAGATATATACCCCAAAGAAAGGAAATAAATATTTAGAAGAGGTATGTGCACTCCCATGTTTATTGCAGCACTTCTCACAATAGCCTAGATTTGGAAGCAACCTAAGTGTCCATCAACAGGTGAATGGATAAAGAAAATGTGGTACATAGACACAACGCAGTGCTATTCAGCCATAAAAACGAATGAGATCCTTTCATAAAAAAAGAATGAGATCCTATCCATAACATGGATGGAACTGGAGGTCATTACATTAATTGAAATAAGCCAGGTACAGAAAGACAAACTTTGCAGGTTCTTATTTGTGGGAGCTAAAAATTAAAAGAGTTGAACTCATGGAGATCAAGAATACAATGATGGTTACCAGAGGCTGGGAAGGATAGTGAGGGGGTGGAGGGGAAGTGAGGATGGTTAATGTGCACAAACAAAATAGAATGGATAAGATGCAGTGTTTGGTAACACAGAAGGGTGACTATAGTCAACAAAATTTTACTGTACATTTAAAAATAACTGAGAGAGTATAACTGGATTGTTTGTAACACAAAGGATCAATGCTTCAGGTGATGGATACTCCATTTACCCTGATGTGATTATTACACATTGTATGCCTGTATCAAAATATCCCATCTACCCCATAAATATATACACCTGCTCTGTACCCACATAAATTAAAAACTTTAAGAACCCTGAGTGTTTACTTTCCAGTATAACTAAGCATTCTAAATGCAACTTTGAATGAAAATTTCTTTATATGCCTCAAATTTGAAAATATGTAAGCTAGTCAAAGAATGTGTATTTATTAATGGAGACTCAATAATTAATGATCACAAACTGTTAAGCTAGAGAAGTGGTTCTCAGGCAGGCATGATTTTGCTCCCTAGGGAGCAGTGTCAACTTCTGGAGACATTTTTCGACGTCATGCTATGGGGAGGAGGGAGGAGATGCTGTTGGCATCTTGTAGATAGAGGCCAAGGATTTCTTGTAATACATAGGACAGCCTCAATGCCAACTGTGCTAAGGTTGGGAAATGCTGAGCAAGAAGAATTGAAAGCCCAGGGCCAGGGTCTTCCAAAAAAAAACTAGGCACACCTGTCCAGCAAGAGCTGGACCCACTGAGTTGTCACCTATGGCAGACGGAGAGGAAGAAATACCCTCCCACTCCACCTTCTGTCTTTTTGGCTGTGAAGTAAATGAGCATAACAAGGAAAAATCAGATATTTTCCTGTCACTGTATGGAAGTCTCCATTTAGCCTACTACACAGATTAGAAAAAGGTATTCCCCTGACTTGACAGAGCCCCATTATACATGGCTTGATGAGTGGACCACAAGCTGGATTTAAGCTTTCACTTATCCTCTCAATTGGTCACCTTTGTGCAGTGCACAAACTATACAACTGTATATGGCAGACCTCAATATAAGCACTAGTTCCACTAATACTACAAAACTTCATACAGCTTTTAATATGTGGTAACCATGAGATAACTCATAATAAGAGTAATTAAAAGGAGAATAACTAACCTGCACAATGTGCACATGTATCCTAAAACTTAAAGTATAATAATAAAAAAATAAATAAAATTTAAAAAAGGAGAATAAGACAGATTGAAAAGAAGATCAAAGAAGAGGCATCTAAAAGTGAGACAGGGGTTTGTGGCAGTTATCTTAGAAGGATAAGTTGCCAAATGTAGGCTCTCTGTCAGGAACCCAATACAAACACCAGAACAAAGAAAGACACAAGAAAAGATTAAAAGGGCAGCTATTTTTAATAGCTTGGGAAAAATGGCTATAACTGGGGAGGGGCAAGGGAGAGTAAAGAAAGGGAGTGATTACCTTGAGCTCCTACGTGGAAAAAGTCAGTTGGGGATTACTTTTAAAATTCTAATTAAACTGGCTTGGCAGTTTAATGAGGCACTGTCACCTACACCCTTTGAAAGCTATAGACCAAATATCTTACTTAAAGCTTATAAAGATTTACCTTAATTAAGGTTAATTAGAAAAAAAGTGGCTATCAAATAAGAAATGAAACAAGCTCAGGAGTCATAAGAAAATTTAAATAAATCATAGTGAAGAACTTGTGCCAGAGTAAGTTTCCAAATATCAAAAATAATCTTTGATTTACAAATTTAGTTACAGAAAATGTTATAGACTTATTCTCTGGAAAAGTATTTAAAAATATCTATCTGCTTGAGGTAGTTCTGAATAAAGACAGGAAGAAAAGAGGGTAAGCTAAAAAGAAAATTTTAGAGTATTTAAAAGTAGGATGTATACTATCTCTGTGAGATGATTTAGTGAAGAAAATAGAATATCCAAGATTTTAACTCTTCTGCCAATGCCCTGTTTTACAGAATTAGAGGAGACAGCACTGATTGCAGTGACAGAAGCGGTGCCAGCTAACTCCCCACCATCAAAAGTATCTTCTGCTGTAGCCTGGCACAAGGTGTGAAATTTCATTTTTAAAGATTTACTTCTTTGATTTGTCATTGTTATGGTTAAAATGCTATAATGCTGTCTGAGGGTTAAAGGACATAACTTGTGAAAAATCATTAATTTCCTGGTGCTAATTTAAATTCTTTGATAATTATCTGGGAGGGGCTTAAAAGGAGTACAAAATTGCCTTTTGGAAGGGTTTAATTGATTGACATTGCAATAGTCTGCTCAAAGTCTGTGAGAGTATGAATGCCTATTTGTAAATCTGTCATACATACATACACACATATATCAGAAATGACAATAATTATATATAGTATACACAAATGTGTCTGTGAGTATGTTTGTATAAAACTAGCATATAACCAAATACCTACACACCTGGTACGGTATTGTATTTGATCCACTGTAAAAGTTCTTCCTGAGGCAAATCATTAAATTCTCCTGTTATGCTCCATTGATTACAGAGGTTTGCATAACCTTGTATTGACATCACTGTTAGAATGCCAAAGATAACATTCTCTCTGCGAACTCTGCGAAAAAGCCAGCCAAAGAGCTGAAACAAAAGAAACAATTTATTTCTAGTTCTTATATGAAGAGTACTGTAGGGTCAACAATAAATTCTCACCTTGTTACTCAAACCAATGTGAATTACCCTTTGATATCAGCACACATGTATACAGAATTATCATCTCCGATTGTTTCTAAAGCAACAAATATATTGGCATTACAGGGCCCAGGTGAAAACAGAACTTTCTCTCCCCTGGGAAGAATTAAGGAAGATATACCTGATCCTTCTAGTACTAATTTACTACTAAGGATTAAAATAAACAAATCACAACTGTGAAACATCTTAGAACTAAATCCTTTCATCCTTGGCTGCCTTTTGTGGACATGGTTAGTAGACAGGGAAGCCCTATTAGCATGATATATATAGATTCTTCTCAGGAAAACAGGCATTATGATATTTTAAGGCTATACACTCATAATAAAAACTAAGTAAGGTGTTTGTAGAAGTACCTTAGGCCCAATATTCTAGCAATTTATCTAGTTCTTTTGTATGTTAGATAACAGTGATAGAACCCCAGAATTTCTTATAGATTGTTCGAGCCAAACAGAACCATATTAGAGCAATTACTCTGCATCTACTCTGGTATTGGATGAGTATTTCAGGGTACTTTTGGTGAACCAGGAAACTCTTTTTTTTTTTTTTTTTTTTTTTTTTTTGAGGCAGAGTCTCACTCTGTCTCCCAGGCTGTAATGCAGTGGTGCGACCTCAGCTCACTTCAACCTCCACTTCCCAGGTTCAAGCAATATTCCTGCCTCAGCCTCCTGAGTAGCTGGGATTACAGGCACACACCACCATGCCCGGCTAATTTTTGTATTTTAATAGAGACAGGGTTTCACCATGTTGGCCAGGCTGATCTTGAACTCCTGACCTCAAGTGATCTGCCCACCTCGGCCTTCCAAAGTGCTGGGATTTCAGGTGGGAGCCACTGTGCCTGGCCACCAGGAAACTCTTTTTTTTTCTTTTTCTTTTTTTGAGACAGTCTCACTCTGTCACCCAGGTTAGAGTGCTGTGGTGCGATCTTGGCTGACTGCAGCCTCTGCCTCCCAGGTTCAAGCGATTCTCCTGCCTCAGCCTCCCAAGTAGCTGGAATTACAGGCACTCGCCACCACACCCGGCTAATTTTTGTATTTTTAGTAGAGATGGAGTTTCACCATGTTGGCCGGGCTGGTCTCGAACTCCTGGCCTCAAGTGATCTGCCCATCTCGGCCTCCCAAAGTGCTGGGATTACAGGTGTGAGCCACTGTGCCAGGCACTCTTACACAAACCTGAACTCTAAAAGGTTATGTTCATGGACAGGATATTAACAGAGGGGAAATGTTTGCCTAATCACTTGTTATAGAAATATCAATTAAAATCCAGAAATACTTTTCAAAGCCACTTGAAATTGCTTTTCTTGCTTATAGTGAATCACGAAGTAATATTTTAAATCATTTAACTTAGTTAAGTTAAAAACACTTAGTGTGTTTATATTTTGAATTAGTCAGCAAAGCCACGGTAACTACTAAGTATAGCTGCTATAGTTTTTATAGTATTGTTATACAAGAATGAATCCCTTACCCGTCAAGAGCATATCAAGGAAGCCATAACACACATGTGCTGTGTCAAAAACAGCTTTAGCCTCAAAATTAAAATGGCAAGGGCAGTAAATGCTAACAACTGCAATGTGTGAAAAGCCAGCTATAAAAACACAAATAAGACAAAATCACATTCTTACTTTTCATATTTTTAAATTAATGAAGTACATTAAAACTATATTATTCATTAAGACAAGGATCTTCTAACTTAGTAATAAGCCTATCAGTATTCATTCAACAATAATTTATCAAATGTCTACTATGTTCCAGGTACTCTTCAGGGTGCTTCAGATACAGCAGTGAGCAATTTCTGTCCTTGTATTACATTTAACTACATTTAGTAATGAAAGACAGACAATACATAGAAATAGCAAATAAATGAATCCATTACATAGTCTACTGTAAGGCAATAAGTGCAGTTGGCAAGAAAATGGAGCAGGCAGAGGAGGCAGGGAGAGGAGGAGGTGGTTTGAGGAGGCGGAGGACCAACACAGTGGGCCTCACTGTAAAGTGACAAAGTTACTAATGAATCCCTGATCCAAAAATCTGAAATCTACAATGCTCCAAAATCTGAAACTTTTGAGTACCAATATGATGTTCAAAGGTTATGCTAAAACAAATGCTCATTGAAGCATTTTGGATTTTGGATTTTCAGGTTAGGGATGCTCAACTAGTAACTACATTGTAAATATTCCAAAATTCAATAAAATCTGAAATCTGAAACGCCTCTAGTCCTAAGCATTTTGGATAAGGGATACTCAACATGTGTCATAAACTATCTCTATTAAGTTCAAATTCAGTTACCCACTCCTGTAAATTTGACCTTTACCTCAAGACCCACTTAAAGTTCTATCAAATAGGAAATATTTCCAGCCCACACTGATCTTTTCCTTTTTATGCCACAAAATAATTTTACACGACATAAAATGTTGTCTTATTTGTCTCCTTTGTAAAATTACACATACCGAAGGGCAGGAACATGACTTTAGTATCTTTTGTATCCTTCAACACTTCTGAGCTTGTCACTGACTGACCAGCAAATCTACGTGGTGGCAGATGGCCACCAGTCACAGGGCCAAGGGTGCCTGCCCCAATGGACTGTAGCTGATTAGCTCAGCAGGCTAGAAACCA
This sequence comes from Homo sapiens, assembly GCF_000001405.40. Lineage (NCBI taxonomy): Eukaryota > Metazoa > Chordata > Mammalia > Primates > Hominidae > Homo > Homo sapiens. The sequence goes on along the minus strand of NT_187559.1, from coordinate 43,763 downwards.
AATGCTTGTTATTGTTAAATGAATGCAATTTAATTTAATTCTGTAGTATAGTCATAAATCAGCCTTCTAGCTTTTAAATCCTTATTACTATTCAAAAGTAAGAGCAGATGAAAGAGTGAGAAGGATCAGCAGAAATTTATCACCAATGCTGAACAACTCACTACTGATGGTGCATCAGCAGCAAGGTTATACCTTTGTCAATTACCCTCAAACTAGAATTTAATACACAAGTCTACCAGAGATTAAAATGAAAGCTTTACCTCACTGTGTTCAAGGAGCTGTTTTCTAGAATAAAACAAAAATATTATCTATTTACTGAAGGTCTTCTATACTATGAATACATAAAAATAAGATTCATTTGTTTGATCTTGGATTTTTAAAATGTGACTATCTCTAAACTACTTAGGAACATACATAAAAATAAAAATATCACATAATAGTACAAAAATTACGACAATTTAAAAGTCATAATTTATAGTCATCCTATTCAAGATATGTCAAAAATTTGTTCTTTGGTTAAGACAAAATAGATTTTACAGATCCCTGGAGATTGTACCTCTCATTAATAAATGAATAGGATGACCTTCTATTCAACCTATATATACAGTGTATACAATACTTTAGATGACCACTGAAACTTTTGAGTTATTTTCATTTTTCACAATTACAAATAACACGGACACTCATGCATAAAACTTTGTAAGCATCTCTGAATATTTCCTTAGCATAAATTTCCAGAAGAAAAATTATTGGGTAAAACATAAATATTTTTAGTTTCAGAAAAGTTGTCTCTTTACAAAATATTTATAGTACACCTACTGTATTCTAGGCACTGTGCAATGAAATGAATACCACAGTCCCTGCTTATCCTCCGATCCTCACTTTCCACAGTTTCAGTTACCTGTAGTCAACTGCAGTCCAAAAATATTAAACGAAAAGTTCCAGGAAATAAACAATTCCTAAGTTTTAAATTGTGCACCATACTAAACAGTGAAATCTCAAGTCACCCTGCTTCATCCTACCTGGGACATGACTCACCCCTTTGTCCAGCATATCCATGCTGTATACGTCACCAGCCTGTTAGTCATGTAGTTACCATCTTAGTTATCAGATGGACTCTGGTGGTATCTCAGTGCTTGTTTTCAAGTAACCCTTTTCTGACTTAATAATGGCCCCAAAGTTCAAGAGGAGTGATGCTGGCAGTTGAGATATGCCAAAGAGAAGCTGTAAAGTGCTTTCTTTAAGAGAAAAGGTGAAAGTTCTCAAAAGAAAAACATCATATGCTGAGGTTGCTAAGATCTACGGTAAGAACAAATCTACCCATGAAATTGTGAAGAAGAAGAAAAAATTAACGTTAGTTTTGCTGTTGCATCTAAAACTGCAAAAGTTATGGCCACAGTCCATGATGAGTGCTTAGTTAAGACGGAAAAGGCATTAAATCTGTGGGTGGAAGACGTGAACAGAAATGTGTTCCGATGGTGGCAATCACGTGTGTTACTCTCTGCAGTTTCAAGCATCCACTGGGGGTCTTGGGATGTGTCGCCCTGCAGATAAGGGCAACTGCTGTGCAGCATGAACAGTATGGAGACAATACTTATCTTCATGGAGTTTATATTAGAGTAAGACAAGAGGTAGGAGACTGCCTATTTTATTGTTCTCTTGAAAAGACTGGGTATTTTACTTTTATGAAAGGCTTTATAGCCTGCAGGGGCATTCTAATATGGATTTTGGGGGTGAAGAGACAAATAGGTGTGGAAAGTAAGTTCAGGGGTTCAGAGACCCATAGGTTTTTTAAAAGAGAAGTCAGGGGAAGGTCTCTTAAGGTAGTAGTGGAGTCCAAATTATTCTATGTCCCTTGTAGCTCCTACCCTTTGTATGCAGTAGTTTTTTTTTTAAATCGAAGACGGGGGAAGGTCTCTTAAGGTAATAGTAGAGACCAAATTATTCTATCTCCCTCGTAGCTCCTTCCCTGTGTATGCAGTTAACGGAGTGGGGTTTCCCCACTTGTCCCGCAATCTAGGCACAACAGATTCCTGTAGTGAGCTGCGTGCAAGGAAGAAGCCTGGTAGGTGAGTAATTATTATAATCACCAAGAACCCTGAAAGTAACTACTGATACTTTATTTAAATCAAGTAGCTAACTAAAAATGTGAATATACAACCAAATCCCAAGACACAAATATCATGAAAAGGAAACATCAAAATAAATAAGCAAAAAACTTGACCTCTCATGAAACAGCTAATGCAAATGAAAACTCCAATTATTGTTTTCACAGAAGTTTAAAAGGATAATGCACCCATATAATTAAAATAAGCTCCAGTGAAAAGGAGTTTTCAGAAATTCTAAGAAAAATATATTTGCCTAATTTAAAGCCTCAAAAGAAAGCTGAAGAGCAAAATGTACACAGCTGAAGTTGACAGTATTAAAGACTCAGTGATGATATTCTCTGAGAACACAGAAAGAAAAGAAATAGATAATATGATAAAAGCAATAATAGAAATTCAAAAAAGAGAGGCTAAAGTGAAAGAATAAGAGAACAACAACACACACACATCACCCCTCCAAACCTTATGTATTTCCAGAGAGAAAAACTATATAGGAATTTTCGTCTGTAATCCTTAATGCTAGAACGCAAAGAAGCAATGTCAAAAAAATGTTGAATGAAACCCACAAATATCTATTAACCAATCTATCAATCAAATATGAGGGCAAAATAAAGCCATTTTTCAGGTAAGAAAGCACCCAGAAAGCATGCCAATTCTACATGTCAAGGAAAAATAAATCAGTAAAATTTGAAGTCAAGTCCAAAGACTGCTGGTGTCTTTAATGTAAATGTTTAGAGACTTCTTAGAACATAACAGATAAGACAACAATCTAGAAAGTAAATTTCAGCATAACCTGGAAGGAGAGGGTGTCTAGGCAAGGACAAGTAGAAATATTCCAACAGCTCAGTGCTGAAGCAAGCAGGTCTCTAGGTACAGAGCCTGAGTATGAGTTCTGCCTCCACTACTCACTAGCTGTGTGCCTTTCAGAAAATTACTTACCTTCTTACTGGTTTCCTCATCTGTAAATAATGGGAATAACTGACTCCCTTCTCACAAGGTGACTGTGAGGATTTATTGAGTTAATACTGGTAAGAAGCTTAAAATACTGTCAGACACACAGGAAATAATAACTGTTAGCTACTATCATTGGTGGTAACAGGTTTTAGATGCTGATGAATTCTTAATATCAAGATGAATATATTTGCTAATAATTTAAGAGAAACCACCAGGAAATATAGAAATGGGATATAGCTAACAATTCAGCAAGTATCAAGAAAATAATTTTTGAAAAGCACGATGAATAGAAAACATAAAATCAGATGGCAGGGAGAAGTACAAACACAGCAGTTATCACAGTTAATATGAAAATGGGTTAAATTCACCAATTAGAAAACGAGTATTAGAGGAATTTGAATAGAAAAAATCTAACAATGAGAAATATACCTAAACCAAAATGTCACAAAAATGTTTAAAAAAAAGCATAAATACAGGTAAACCAGGAAAATCTATAAAAAAAGAAAGCAGATGTGGCAATATTAATTTTATACAAAGAAAAATTTACAGCAAAAAACCACTAAGTAAAGCAAAGAATATCCTTTATAATAAAAGTACAATCCTATAATAATCATGCAATGAACAACAGCACTATCTATATAAAGCAAACACTATTAAAATTACAAGACAATTTTGAAAAATTCATTTTTCATGTTGTATGTGAAGACAGCATTCTAAGAAAACAGATAAAATAGAAAAATAACTTGATGTACTAGACCATTTAGAATAGCACTATTAATAACATGATATAACATGTAACTTTGAACTTCCCCTAAATAAGAAATGAACATTTAAAAAATCCTCACAGAGCATTTACTAAAACTGAACATCCATCTCAATAAATAGCAAGTTAATTTTAAAGGCAAAATATACAACAGAAGAAACTAGTTAGACATTTTAAAAAATTATTATTATTATTATTATTATTATTATTATTATTATTGAGACGGAGCCTCGCACTGTTGCCAGGCTGGAGTGCAGTGGCAATCTTGGCTCACTGCAACCTCCGACTCCTGGGTTCCAGCGATTCTCCTGCCTCAGCCTCCCAAGTGGCTGGGATTACAGGTGCGTGCCACCACACCCAGCTAATTTGTGTATTTTTAGTGGAGACGGGGTTTCACCATGTTGGCCAGGATGGTCTCGATCTCCTGACCTCGTGATCCGCCCGCCTTGGCCTCCCAAAGTGCTGGGATTATAGGCATGAGCCACCGCACCCGGCCTAAAACTAGTTAGACATTTTAAGACATTCTTCTAAGTGATTTTGGATTAAATGATCAAAACTCAAATCACAGACTACACAGAAATCAACATTAATGGTAATGCTACACACATCATGGGATACAGTGTGCGTTTTCTTCAGAGAAAAAGTTATAACTTTAAATGTATTTACTAGGACACAATAATGATTGATAATAAATGATGTGAACTTTAGACACAGAAAAACAAAAGTGCACCAAAAGAAAAACTAAGGACATAAACATATAAGCAGAGATTAATAAAATGGAGAACAACCTTCATAAATATAAGGAATAAAACCAAAAGCTGGTTTTATGAAAAATCCAAAAAAGAATGACCTTGTTATGGACTAATGCAGCTGGTGACTTTCAGTTGAAGCCAATGTTCATTTACCACTTTGAAAATCCTGAGGCCTTTTTTCAGAATTATGCTAAATCTACTCTGCCTCTACTCTACAAATGGAACAACAAAGCCTGGATGACAGCACATCTGTCACAGCATGTTTTACTGAATATTTTAAACCCACTCTTGAGACCTACTTCCCAGAAAAAAAGATTCCTTTCAAAATATTATTGCTCATTGACAATGTGGCTGGTCACCCAAGAGCTCTGATAGAGATGGACAAGGAGATTAAAGTTGCAGGAAAGCAGGCTGGATCAAGGAGTCATTTCAACTTTCAAGTCTTGTTATCTAAGAAATATATTTCATAAGGCTATAGCTGTCATAGATAGTGATTCCTCTGATGGATTTGGGTAAATTGAAAATCTTCTGGAAATGATTCACCATTCTAGATGCCATTAAGGATATTTGTGATTCGTGGATGGAGGTCAAAATACTGACATCAATAAGAGATGGGAAGCAGTTGATTCCAACTTATTTTCTACTTTATCTGTCATTTTCTTAGAATGCTTTCTTCTCATATAACATTAAAAATGATTCCAACCCTCATGGGTGACACTGAGGGGTCCAAGACTTCAGCAGAGGAAGTCATTCCAGATGTGGTGGAAACAGCAAGAGAACTTGAATTAGAAGTAGAGCCTGAAGACGTGACTGAATTGCTGCAATCTCATGATAAAACTTTAATGGATGAGGAGTTGCTTCTTATGGATAAGCAAAGAGAGTGGTTTCTTGAGATAGAATCTACTCCTGGTGAACATGCTGTGAACATTGTTGAAGTGAAAACAAAGGATTCAGAAGATGACATAAATTTGGTTGATAAAGCGTGGCAGGGTTTGAGAGGACTGACTCCAATTTTGAAAGTAGTTCTACTGTTGGTAAAATGCTATCAAACAGCATTGTATGCTACAGAGAAATTTTTCACGAAAGGAAGAGTCAATCAATGTGGCAAACTTCATTGTCTTATTTTAAGAAATTGCCACGGCCACCTGATCAGTCTGAAGCTATCACCATTGAAGCAAGACCTTCTACCAGCAGAAAGATTACAACTCTAGTGTACATGTCAGGATAGACATTATCCAAAAAACAAAAGGTAGTAAGTGTTGGCAAGAATGTAGAGAAATTGAAATCCCTGCACAGGTGGAATTTCAAATGGTGCACCTGCTATGGAATACAGGATGGAGGTTCACCAAAAAAAATCTTTAAAAAATTAAAAGTAGAACTACCATAAAATCCAGTAATCCCACTTCTAGGTATTTATCCAAAACAGTTGAAATCAAAATCTCAACAAGATACTAGCACTCTCATGTTCACTGCAGTGCTATTCATAGTAGTCAAGATGTGGAAACCGACTAAATGTCCATCAACAGACGAATAATGAAAATGCGGCATACAAAAACAATGGAATATTGTTCAGCCCAAAAAAAAAAGTAGGAAATTCTTCAATGTGAGACAGCATGGATGAACCTGAAGGGCATTATGCTAACTGAAGTAAGCCAACCCCACAAGATATATAATGCAAAATTCCACTTACATGAGGTATCTAAAATAGTCAAAGTCATAGAGTGAAAGAGTGGAAGGGTGTCACCAGGGGCTGAGACAAGGGGAAATGGAGAGTTACTAGTCAACAGGCTTAAAGCTTCAGTTAAGCCAGATGAATAAGTTTGAGAGATCGACTATAGAATGTTATACTTATAGTCCACAATACTGTATTATACAATTAAAAAATCGTTAAGAGGGTAGATCACATGTTAAGCATTCTTACCAAATTTTAAAAACAAGTGTAGTTATTAATAAGGAGAAAAAATATATAATAATCCCCAAAATATTTTTAAAGCCATTTTTAAAAAATTTAACATTCATTTTTTACTGCTTTATTGAGTTACAATTCACACATTATACACTTTCAACATCTATCTTTAATTTAATTTTTAAAATTATCCTGGTTTATATAAACCAAAAGGAAACTTTCTTTTTTTCTTTTTTTTTTTTTTTTTGAGATGGAGTCTCACTCTGTCTCCCAGGCTGGAGTGCGGTGACACAATCTCAGCTCACTGAAACCTCCGCCTCCCGGGTTCATGTCATTCTCCTGCCTTAGCCTACAGAGTAGCTGGGACTACAGGCGCCCACCACAACGCCCAGCTAATTTTTTGTATTTTTAGTAGAGACGGGGTTTCACCATGTTAGCCAGGATGGCCTCAATCTCCTGACCTCGTGATCCGCCCACCTTGGCCTCCCAAAATGCTGGTATTACAGGCATGAGCCACCGCGCCTGGCCAAGGAAACTTTCTTAATGAAATAAAGGCTATCCATTATATACTAACAGCAAATGAAACAGTGAGACACTAAAGGCATTCTTCACTTTAGAGTCAGAAACAAAATAAGGGCAAGCCCATCATCACTGCAATTCAAAGTTGTTCTGGAAGTTCTAGCTAATACACAAGACAAGAAAGTAAAGAAGTATAAATATTAGAAAGTTATTACTATTTGTAGATTATATGATAACCTGCCTAGAAAATCCAGAGCATCAATGGAAAAACTATTAGAACCAGAAAGAAAGTTTGGTAACATGGCTAGATAAAAACGTGTTGCAAAAAAAAAAAAAAAAGTAAAGCAGCTTTCCTATAAACTAAAAGATCAGTATAACAGACAATCTAAAACAGACTCAAGTACAATGAGAATTGATAAGTGATAAAAGCTGACATTTGGAAAAAAGATTTATGCAATACTGTGTTGGGACAATACCTCACTAGAGGGGGAAAGGTAGACTCCTCTATGTCACTATACCACAAAATTAATGCAAGAGTAATAAATAACCTCTATGTAAATAGAAACTTATGAAAGAAAATATGAAAAAAAATTTCATGTTTTTGGTGTAGGGAAGTGTTTCTAAGCAACATATGAACCCAGAAAAAATATATAACTGTGATTGTACAGAAACTTTGAAGTTCTACAAAGCAGAGACCATAAATGAACTATAAGTTGACATTTTGGAAGAAACTGTGTAATACACATAAGAGACAAAATGTTATGTCTATGGAAAAAGCAAAAACATAACACATAGCCGGGCACAGTGGCTCATGCCTGCAATCTCAGCACTTTGGGAGGCCCAAGTGGCTGGATCACTTGAGGTCAGGAGTTCAAGACCAGCCTGGCCAACATGGCAAAACCCTGTGTTTACTAAGAATACAAAAATTAGCTGAGTGTGATGACGGGTGCCTGTTATCCCAGCTACTCCAGAGGGTGGGGCAGGAGAATTGCTTGAACCCCGGAGGCAGAGGTTGCAGTGAGCCGAGATTGTGCCACTGCATACACAGCAGCGAGATGAAAAGAAAAAAAAAAAAACAACCCACAAAACAACTTTTAAAGGTCAAAAAGAAACATAGTAAACAAACACATGAAAAGCTGCAAAACTCCACTGACATAGAATTTATACAATAAAATGAATTGTTTTTACCTATCAGAAAAAATTAAAAGCTTGATAACGATGTTGGTGGAGTTGCAGAGAAATGGACACTCTCATCATTATAATTTCTCAGTTTTAACAAATTCTAAAATATGCAGGCCTCATAATCAGCAGTCCAAATTCAAATATTTTATACTATAGAAATACTTAGAATAAGTCTACCAAGATACACAAACCAGGATGTTCAATCCTCAAAACATTGGTTTTTTTATGACAAAAGTTATATATAATCTAAACTTTCATTGATATGGGAAAGGCAGTCATGCATGATGGTCAACAATAAAATCCTAAGACCATTATAAAATATAATGAAGATCAAGGAAGAGGCCCAAGACACACTATTAAATACAAGTAACAAGTTACAGAATAAGTAGAATACAATTCTATTTTTTAAAAATATTGTGTTTCTATATGTGTTTTCTAAAATAAAACATACAAAGCTACTTACAATCAGCACTCAGGGGAGCAGATCTAAGAGAGGGGAGTATTCCCTCTCTTTTTGATACACTGGTTTTTCAGAATGTATTACTACTAGCCTCTGCTATTATTATTTTTGAGATTTAACCCAGAACCCTCTGCCCACACACAACAGGCCTGTCACTTTCAAATATGTAATCAATACATAGACTTCCATATTCTGAGTAATTATCTTCCATCCACTGATCCCTCCGAGTCTGTCACTTCCACATTACACCCTCTGCAACATATGAAGACAGTTGCCACATACCCTTCAATCTTCTATTATCCAGTTAAATATTCCAAGACCCTTCATGCACTCCTTATGGGAACAGTGTCCAGGGTTCTCCATTCATTCTTTTTTAGAATGCCAAGACCCATTTCCCTGGGCTCCATCTGTCCAGAACAATGTAGAATGGGTCTATTATCCCCTTTATTTTGGAAAGAATTTCAACAGACGCACCTAAGAGCTTAATTAGCTCTTCTGACAACCATACACAGCTGTTTATTAAAAATACAAGCATGGAGTATGGAGTTCATAGAAATTCTTTCTACTATCTTCACAATTTTTCTATAAATCTAAAACTATTCTATAAAGTAGAAGTCACAAAATAAAATCAAATATTCTATTTACAAATATAAAATGTAACTTGAAAATTACTATTAGGTACTATGCTCACTACCTGGGTACAATATACCCATGTAACAAGCCTATACATGTGCCCCCTGCATCTAAAATAAAAGTTGAACACTAAAAAACATGTCATTTGAGATCATATTTCCCTCAGAAGGAAATTTTCTTCACAATTTACTTCTTGAGCCTTGTAGCAATTTACTTATGTGTGACTGATATGATATATTTTGCTGGCATCTGCTTATGCTAGTGACATTACTAAAACCATCCAGAATTGTTATACAATAAATAGTTTCAACAATAAGTTTAGAAGAAAATTCATAAATATTCAGGAACACAAATAATTTTACCCCCTCTGAAAGTTAAAAAAAGAAAGAAAAAGAAAACCCTGACCAACATGGTGAAACCCCCTCTCTACAAAAAAATACAAAAATTAGCTGGGCATGGTGATGCACACCTGTAGTCCCAGCTGCTTGGCAGAGCTGAGATGAGATGATCGCGTGAGCCCAGGATGTCCAGGCTGCAGTGAGCAGAGATCATGCCACTGCACTCCAGCCTGGGTGACAGAGCAAGACTCTGTGAAAAGAAAAGAAGAGAAGAGAAGGGAAGACAAGAGAAGAGAAAAGAAAAAAGAAAAGAGAAAAGAAAAGAAAAAACAAGAGAAGAGAAGAGGAAAGACAAGACAAAACAGGGAGAGAGAAGGAAGGAAGGCAGGAAGGAAGGAAGGGAGGAAGGGAGGGAGGGACGAATTCCAAAAATTGCCAAGGTAATTTATAGATTCAATGCCATCCCCATCAAGCTACCAATGACTTTCTTCACAGAATTGGAAAAAACTACTTTAAAGTTCATATGGAACCAAAAAAGAGCCCGCATTGCCAAGTCAATCCTAAGCCAAAAGAACAAAGCTGGAGGCATCATGCTACCTGACTTCAAACTATACTACAAGGCTACAGTAACCAAAACAGCATGGTACTGGTACCAAAACTGAGATATAGATCAATGGAACAGAACAGAGTCCTCAGAAATAATGCCACATATCTACAACTATCTGATCTTTGACAAACCTGAGAAAAACAAGTAATGGGGAAAGGATTCCCTATTTAATAAATGGTGCTTGGAAAACTGGCTAGCCATATGTAGAAAGCTGAAACTGGATCCCTTCCTTACACCTTATACAAAAATCAATTCAAGATGGATTAAAGACTTAAACGTTAGACCTAAAACCATAAAAACCACAGAAGAAAACCTAGGCATTACCATTCAGGACATAGGCATGGGCAAGGACTTCATGTCTAAAACACCAAAAGCAACGGCAACAAAAGCCAAAATTGACAAATGGGATCTAATTAAACTAAAGAGCTTCTGCATAGCAAAAGAAACTACCATCAGAGTGAACAGGCAACCAACAAAATGGGAGAACATTTTCGCAAGCTACTCATCTGACAAAGGGCTAATATCCAGAATCTACAATGAACTCAAACAAATTTACAAGAAAAAAACAAACAACCCCATCAAAAAGTGGGCAAAGGACATGAACAGACACTTCTCAAAAGAAGACATTTATGCAGCCAAAAAACACATGAAAAAATCCTCACCATCACTGGCCGTCAGAGAAATGCAAATCAAAACCACAATGAGATACCATCTCACACCAATTAGAATGGCAATCATTAAAAAGTCAGGAAACAACAGGTGCTGGAGAGGATATGGAGAAATAGGAACACTTTTACATTGTTGGCGGAACTGTAAACTAGTTCAACCATTGTGGAAGTCAGTGTGGCGATTCCTCAGGGATCTAGAAGTAGAAATACCATTTGACCCAGCCATCCCATTACTGGGTATATACTCAAAGGACTATAAATCATGCTGCTATAAAGACATGCACACGTATGTTTATTGTGGCACTATTCACAATAGCAAAGACTTGGAACCAACCCAAATGTCCAACAATGATAGACTGGATTAAGAAAATGTGGCACATATACACCATGGAATACTATGTCGCCATAAAAAATGATGAGTTCATGTCCTTTGTAGGGACATGGATGAAATTGGAAATCATCATTCTCAGTAAACTATCGCAAGAACAAAAAACCAAACACCGCATATTCTCACTCATAGGTGGGAACTGAACAATGAGAACACATGGACACAGGAAGGGGAACATCACACTCTGGGGACTGTTGTGGGGTAGGGGGAGGGGGGACGGATAGCTTTAGGAGATATACCTAATGCTAAATGACAAGTTAGTGGGTGCAGCACACCAGCATGGCACATGCATACACATGTAACTAACCTGCACATTGTGCACATGTACCCTAAAACTTAAAGTATAATAATAATACAAAATAAAAATAAAAAAATAAATCTTTAGCTTACTGACTTTAAATTCTAATCATATATTATAATTTATCAATTTAAACTTTGAGTTAGTTCACAAATATAAATTTCTCCAAAACAAGTCCAAATACATGTAAGAAATCTGTAAGAATAATATTTTTAAGGAAACATTTAAGTTTGGTTCATATCTCCTTTCTTAATCATAATGCTAAAGTTTAATGCATATTCATTTGAAAAATTAATGCTACAGTAAATTATTTAATAATGGAATACTGTATGTTTTAAAAACAATGATGATATAATTACCTTAGATAAACGTTTGTAGCTAAAACACGCGAAATATCACCAACAGTCTGTGAATAGAATCAAATCAATGAAACTTTTGTAAGGAATACTGCAATATTTAAAATGCTCTGATTCATTAATATAAACACTCCGCCAAGGAAAGAAGTATTCTTTTAATGTTTAAGGGAGTCCTCAGGAACAGGATGGTCATACTATAGATGTCTTCCTTTTCTCCTTCTGAGAAGTGACTTCACATCATTGAAAACTAAATGACCTTCAGAAGTATCCTTGGGGTGAAAAGTAAGCCACAACAGGACAAATAAAGACTGAGGGGTTTATAAGAAAGCAGAAAGGAAGGAGTGAAACTTGGCTGGCTGCAGGGATGAGAGAGAGAGAGAGAGAGAGAGAGAGAGAGAGAGAGAGAGAGTGTGTGTGTGTGTGTGTATGAAACTTGGCCAGCTACAGGGATTTTTGTGTGTGTGTGTGTGTGTATATGTGTGTATGTGTGTATGAAACTTGGCTAGCTGTAGGGATGTTTGTATGTGTGTATGTGCGTGTGCGTGTGTGTGTATGAAACTTGACTGGCTGCAGGGACATGTGTGTGCGTGTGTGTGTGTGTGTATGCACATGCCCCTGCTAGTGCACATGCATAGTTCAGGTTGTGGTGTGTCTGGAAACTAGTAATGTATTTATAAGTCTTGGATCTTAATTTTTTAAAATATAGCAGTTGCAGATCTAGCTATCAGTTTCTCTCACATTGCTGACTCTCCGCTGAATAGTTAATTCATGCATTGGCCCCTCTAAGTGGAGCCTTAGAAGAATAATTCGACATTTTGCCTTGATGGAAAAGAAACAGGCCAGTAGAGAAAATCTTCATTCTAAGCCAGCATGGGCCGAAAGGATGCAGGGCAGTAAACCTGCTCACATTTTACTCATTCCTCCTTATTTCCTTTATCCTGACTCTTTCCACGTGGTCCGCAGGGAACTGGATCGAGGGTGAAACAACAGAGATGTCGAGGGAGATGCCTTTCTCACTCTTAAATTACTCACATCTCTGTGTAAACAAAGGAGTGAGAAGTGTGGCAACTAAAACTACATAGAGAAGATATGCAATTTGACTGTAAATACAGAAAACTCCTTTCAACAAGAACACAACTGGTATGGTGGTGGGGAAATCACATTATTGTTATCTGCTTAAAAGTATACAATAAATACATACTGGCTTAAGACTTCATAGCTTGTAAATAATATAAATAAAGATGGCTCAAGACTGCTTAAAAAAATACCCACTGTCTTTAACCATGCTTTTAGATAAACTCCACCCAGACCAAGAAAACCTACCAGTGGTATTTTAAAGATTATTTTTTTCATTGAGATGTTCTTTTCTTCTGTCATGAAAACAGTGAACATGTAGAAAAGTATTTTTTAATTAGCTATACAGATTTCTTCTACGCAGACTCACTCAAAATAGATCAAGACTTCACTGTGCTTTATATTTGAAAGATACTAACATTGTTGTCACTAGACTTTTCTTTCATAGCACCTATAAAAATTTTAATTCTTTAGACGTTTGTGGGATTATTTGCTTCATGTTTGCACCCCCACCCCCAATAATCCAGGATTGTAAGTTCCAAGACAGGAGCGGCCACGTTTTATTTGTCCGGGTGTACCTACAATGTTAATTTAGTCCTTGATACACAGTTGGTGACTGGTATATATCTTTTGAAAGAAAAAATAAGAATACCTTTTATCATGGCTTTTTATAAAAAGATCGATGATGAAAGATCTAAATAAAAAGCAAACTTTTAGAGAGAGGAAGAGTTCATCCTAAAAATAACATGGAATTCTGAGCAATTTGCATTATTATAGTCCTTATATTGATGCCAAAAACAAATAATAATTTGTTTAAAAATACCTTTTTAAAGATAAAACATGTAATCACCATAACAACTGGAAGCAATAATGTCTTTGTGTATATCAGCAGAGTCTGAAATATACCAAATTATTCAAAATAGTTACAATTTTTACATTAAATTAGTAAACATCTATGTCAAACTAAGTGCCATGATAACATTCCTTAAAAGTAAAAGGTTAAATTTCTTTGTCATCAGCAGAATATATATTTATTGTCTTCCATGCCTTAATGAAATAATTAAAATTATAAAAATAGTTATAAAAAGTATTCCAAAAATTTAATGAAAAATTTATTATTTTAATAAAACTAGAATTGCTATATCTATTTTTTCTTTTCTTTTTTTTATTTACATAATACTAAGTTTTAAAATGTGTGTTTACCGATCCCTGGGTCCTACATTGTAACTTTCTGTACTACACAGCTCCATTATTTTCATTAGTGAAACTAGAGCTAACAAGAAAGAAAGCTAACCAAAGTTAATGACTAAAACTATGCATAAGTACAGAAATAACATTGGCTAACTAATTCTGATGACCTGTTATTGTGATAAGGAGTAATTTACCATGTAACTAAATTATACATTTCTTAAAAGCAAGAAACCAGTTCATTTTCCTCTTTGTTGTGCTATAGCAAACCGCCTCATGGATAACTAGTGGTCAATAATAGTTTTTGAATGAATGGGATGACTGGTTGGATGGATAAGAGAAGAATGTAAAATTTTATTATTTACCACTAATTCAGAATTCATAATGATTACACAAGGAATAATCAATCCAGTAGCAACTTTGTTATGTTCTATGAAGAAAATTAAGCTACAAATAGAGGAAAGAGCCCTGGATTGAGAGTTCCAGAATCCATTAGAATCCATGTCCTGATCTTGGCTTGTGTGTGCTTTAGGCAAACCTTTTAAGCTTTTCTTTATCTGCAAATGAAAGAACTATATGGCATGGTCTCTAAGAGCCCTTCCTGATCTTGTGTTCCATGATTCTACAAAGAGGCCAATTTTTTTTTCTTTTTTTTTGATACAGAGTCTCACTCTGTCACCCAGGCTGGAGTGCAATGATGCGATCTCAGCTCACTGCAATCTCCGCCTCCAGGGTTCAAGCAATTCTCCTGTCTCAGCCTCCTACTCAGGCTGGGACTACAGGCATGCACCAACATGCCTGGTTAATTTTTGTATTTTTAGTAGAGATGGAGTTACCACCATGTTGGCCAGGCTGGTCTCAAACTCCTGACCTCAAGTGATCTACCCGCCTCAGCATCCCTAAGTGCTGGGATTACAGGGATGAACCACCACGCCCAGCCTATATTTTAAAGCTTTATAACATGAACTTTTTAAAAAGAATAATACCTTGCATTTGTATAATTTAAAATGAATTTTTATATGTTCATTAAAACTCATCAGTAGCATACCTTTCTTGGTAACACCTTGTTAAAAATGTTATAATATTTGGGGTGTTAACTGTAATAAAACTGAATTTCTTAAAAACAGAAACAAGAATTTAGACTTTTTCCTGAATGGTCCCATATTTCCAAGTGGCCTAGATTATTAAAAGTAATTGATTTGGAATAATAGTAATTATTATGGGTCATATAGTATGTTAAACACTCTTCTCAGATTATCTCATTTAACCATCATCAATAACTCTATAAGATAGAGGCTATCTTTTTTTTTTCAACAGACAAAAAAACAAGTGAGGAAGGTAGATTAGCAAAAGTTACAGTAAAAAAATATAAAATAAGTTGACTGTTTCTGAGCAAAAATTTTGAGTTTCAGATTTTAAAAAAACCTAGAGCAAAAACTCATATTAGTAGAGAAGGAAAAAAGAAACATTCATACCGCTTTTTCCATGAAGTCAAATTCGGGAGAACAGGTGTATTTTAAAGTATCAAAATCTGTATACCTTAAGATTCCGGCTGCTATAAGATCACTCAGGCAAATCTGGGAGAAAATAAAGTAAAATGAATTAAAATTACACAAATGATTATAGCCTTAGCCAGTAATACTTTATTGATGTAAGAATAACAAAGTTTATAGAACAGATAAATCCAATGTATTTAGACATCCCACTAAGAAAACAAAAAACTACAGTGAACCAAATATACGATGTGCTGACTTCTCAAGATAACTGAAAATAAAGAGAAATATCATGAAAAATGAAAAGTAGAAAGAAGTCAGAAAAAATAAAGAGAAGATGATAAAGAGTGAGCTAAAATCAATATCTGCTGAGAAGAAACCACCATGTAGTTAATTATATTTTATAATAAGACAATTTATCATGAAAAACTGTTTTACTTAACCTCTTTCAACATACATTGTAGGTCATAAGCTTTCTGTGCACTGTCATTTTCACAAAGCCTTGCAGACTGATTACAATATTTGGTACTTCTTGATGTTTTACAGACATATATTCAAACCATTGCATATGAGACCTGATCCTCATAAGAATTACAACAGTTATACACACCACTTTGATCTTTGACTTAGCTATTTGATCTCCAAGGCTAAAAGTAGATACCAACAACCAAACCCAATGCAGAACTTCTATTTTTCTACTATTATTTACAACCTGCTCTTGGTGAGACAATTATTTTTCCACAGCATCCTCAGAAGGCCAGAAAAAGGAAAATATTTGGCAAGTAAACTCTTAATTCAAATTATTTTATAGTGACAGAAATTATTTTATAACAAATTTGATGATTATGAGTGGTTTTCATTCAATTATTTTTCCTAATTTACCAGTACTCAAGGATAATTTAGAGTTGCACTTTATTTTTCTAATTTAGAATAGGCCTGGTGACTAATAGTAATTTAACCAAACCACTATAATTTCAGGTATTCCTCGTAACTGTCACATAAAGGAAGTCACTCAGGACTACCAAGGAAGTGTGTTTGCTTTTTTTTTTTTTTTAATTTGTAGGGCAGGCATGGTGGTTCACACCTGTAATCACCAGCACTTTGGGAGGCCAAGGCAGGCGGATCACTTGAGGTCAGGAGTTTGAGACCAGGCTGGCCAACATGGTGGAACCCCATCTCTACTAATAATACAAAAATTAGCCGGGTATGGTGGCACATGCCTATAATCTCAGCTACTCAGGAAGCTGAGGCACAAGAATCACTTGAACCCAGGAGATGGAGGTTGCTATGACCCGAGATTGGCCACTGCACTCCAGCCTGGGTGACAGCGTGAGACTGTGTTTCAAAAAAAAAAAAAAAAAAGATTTAGATTTGTAAAGAGCTGGGGGTCAACGTGAAGTAAGGCAAGAAACATAATCATGAACAAACTTAACAGATAAATAAATAACTTAGAAGGTCTAAATAAAGTTTATCATAAGACATATATAATAAAGTTAAAAACAATAAAAAGGAAAGGAGAATGGGGAAATGTGTCAGACATGCCAGAGAACAGCAGCAACAAATAAACTAATAAACCACCATGCAAAACTAGCAATAAATGGCAAATGCTTACATTTAGAAATTTTATTTAATATAAACATGTTGCATGTTGTATTGCATAGAGATAGCATTTGACCTTTTAGAGAAGTAATACTATAATCCCTTGCCAAAGTACATAATTTCAGCATCAAACAGGGCCCTAATTGGATAGCATTAAATGAGGTAAATTTCAAAATTGATTATTGTATGATATACTCATGTATGCTTATTTCTAAACAGAAAGTGCTAGAAATAAAAAGTAGATTCATGCATTGTTTTCTATTCCCTAAACCAGTTAGTTAAGCAGGGACTTAGGCCTTGAAAAGGGCTACTCTTTAAAACATTAACAAACAGAAATACTACATGAGAGATAAATGCTCTGCATGTATTTCCTAGAAAATGAAAAGATCAAAATTTTTTAACATTCTCTTTTTATATAACAAGAAAGGCCTTAAAACATCAAATCATACATTGATTTTAGTCCATACTTATAAATAAATAAAACAATACTGAGATTTTAAGAGTTCTATATTTTCAAAGCTTAGGACAGCCTCCCGTATGTTAACATCTGCAATAAATGGATAACTTATGATGTAAACAACTAATTATTTGTATTTTAACTGAAATATAAACAAATAACTACTTAACAAACTATTAATATGTTTTTACTAAAAGGGCAAGTCAGCATTCATGAATATTTTTTCTTTTTAGTGACTTTATTATTGACTCTGCCAATAACTCGTCTAGAGACCTTAAAGAAGGCACTTAACTTCTGTAAAATGAAGAGATAAGAATAGATGGTTTCAAAGTTTTCATTCAGCTACATATTTATAAGAACTTTTATGTTTTAACTAAAAAGTACTTACATGGTCTGAAACGCCTAAGATTTTAGATGTCAGAAATTTCAAAATGATTGTTCCACACCACCAGGCACTACCTTGAATTAGCTAGAAAATAAAATAGAAGTCCAGTATTTAAAACTACAAATCACCCAGCTAAAGTATTCAATTATATCTATAAATGACACAGAAAAAATTTAATTATGTGAGGTATAAATGGTGAAGTTTTTTAAAAAAGTTCCTTTAGAAAATCTTGTTTAAAAGCAAAGAATTAAAACTGATGACACTGGTATAAAATATATAGCAACACTAGAATTCTACATATCCTAAATCTTTTTTTTTTTTTTTTTTTGTCTTGAGTGAAAGGTTAATAGCCAAGAAAGAAAGAAGGAAGAAGAAAACAGCTCCCCGTACAGAGACAGAGGAAGGGGGGATTTGAACAAAGAAAAAACCCCGTGTGCATCGGAAAAGTGGCTGCTTATACATATCCTAAATCTAAAGGAAGTTTTGTTGTTGTTGTTGTTGTTGTTGTTGTTGTTGTTGTTGTTGTTTTGAGACGGAGTCTCGCTCTGTCCCCCAGGCCCGGAGTGCAGTGGCACGATCTCTGCTCACTGCAAGTTCCGCCTCCCGGGTTCACGGCATTCTCCTGCCTCAGCCTCCCGAATAGCTGGGACTACAGGCACCCGCCACCATGCCTGGCTAATTTTTTGTATTTTTAGTAGAGACGGGGTTTCACCGTGTTAGCCAGGATGGTCTTGATCTCCTGACCTCGTGATCCACCCGCCTCGGCCTCCCAAAGTGCTAGGATTACAGGCGTGAGCCACTGCACCCAGCCAATCTAAAGGAAGTTTTAAAAGGTTACTTCCTTTTGATTTCTGTTAAGAAAAGGGAGTGTTTATGTGTTTGTTTCCAAATATTATTTCTCAGCTGAAAATCCATTTTTTAAAACACTACCTTAAAAGTTCTTCTACCACTCCTGTGGAAATATATGAGCCCATCTTCAAGAAATAACTGTTTGAAATGTGAAAACTTAAGCTTTCCTTTAAGAAAGAGGAATATGAACTACAACGGCAATGAGGCTTCTGTGTTGTTGTTGTTGTTTATTTTTTGACTAGCCTTGATTAAAAAGGGAACAATTGTGTACTTCTGGTTAGCCTGGGGAAAGTTATAGCAGCCTAAATTCAAATCTCTGCATATATCAACCAACAAGTACAGCAATACAACCACATACATGGCAAAAAACTTCAAATTACCTATGAATGGAAAAGGAGGCAACGAATCTATAGAGTTATACCTCAAGTCCCTGACCTAAGCCTTTGCAGAGAATGAGGGGAGACCCATAAAAGGATAAAGAAGAAAAGGAAAGACAGGGGTCAAAATTGGAAATAAAATAACCCAAGAAAGAGAAAAGTCCATCCTATGTGTAAAAAGAGCTCTGGGAGATTGGTAAATGGGAGTACAGAGCATTAGGCAGTCCCTAAGAGTGAGTAGGGACAAAAACACCGATGTTAGAAAGCCATCATTTCTGGAAAGAAAGGAGGATAAAAAGGGGAGTGCAAGAAGGAAAAAGTATCCAGCAGGAAAAATGAGAACCCAAACCAAAAGACTATCCATCACTACTGCCATCAAGCACAAAAAAAGAAGAAAGTTATTCATTGAAAAAAATCACACTATGCTACATTTTCAGAAGAGGTTTGCACCTGGACTAGAAAACACAAAATAATTAATAGATGAAAAAATGCCTATATAAATATCCAAAGCTTCTTTAAGAAGATAACAAACATGAAAGTCAAATATTTCAGCTAATGAAATCCACACCACTGAATGATAAAATCTCGCAAAACAGAAGAAAATAATGCAGAATTAAAAGTTGAACTAAATATCCTCAAATGAGCATTCAGAAATATTAAAAAAGCAATTTAAACAAGAAATTCAAAAACCAAGAATAGAAATGGGGAAAAAAGCAGAAAGAAATAAAGAGTTTATTAGACATAGAAAGGAAATGGAAGAAAAGGAGAATACTATCAAAAAAAATAAAAACAATCACAAGATGATAAAAAGAAAAATTCAAATAATGAAGGAATTGAAGTAAAGGCACTAAAACAATGATGAAGAATGAAAATGATACCAGAGAAAGAAGTGAGAAGTATCAGAGAAAGTGGTAGAAATGGAAGAAAGGCACATAATTATAACCGGAGTGCCTGAAAAAGAAAACCACAGCAATGAATCAAAACTAGTGTTTAAATTATAATCCAAGAAAACTTTCCAGAAATAAAAGAAGACCTGAATCGACATTTGGAAAGGATCCAGGGGGTACTGGAAAAAATTAATCTGGTATGGTAAACTAACTCAAGACATCTTTCAGTAGAACTATGAAAAATGAAGAAAAATTCCTCAGAACCTCCAGGCACAAAAGTCACATAATTTATAAGGGACAGAAGAATTTGGCTAGCATCAGACTTGTTAAAAGAAACATACAAACCAAAGCAGTGGTGTAGATGCATTTTTAAGAAACTTTAAAAATTGAGAACCAAGGACTTTATATCTGGCCAATCTGTCATTCAAGTATAGACGTTATTTTAAAAAGTTTCAAATATGCAACAATTGAGGAAATAACAGTAACTTTCCTAAATTAAAAAAGTTTAAAATAAAAGAGAATCATATACAGAAACAAAGCAAATATAGTCAAATACACATAAAACTTACAACAAGGGTTTTCACATTATCTCACAAAGCAAAGACAGACTCAATTTATGCTACACAGGGAAGACAAACAAAAACAGATTCAGAAAGGTGAAAAATAGAATGATGGCAGCAGCATGGCAGGCAAATGCCATTTCCATATGGAAACTAAGGAATACATTTAAAGCAAGGATAAGAAGCAAATTCATGGCTTCAAAAGCTTTATCAATAAAAATGAAAGAGTGAAAATAAATGAATTAAATCCTTGACTTAAAAATCTAAATAAAGAATAACGAAATAAAGCAAAAAAAGTACACGAAAGGAAATGCTCATGAGAAGAAGAGTCTATTATATCTACCCCTCTGTGTATCTACTTTGCTGTTTTATATTTCTTCCCTACATTCTAGGATTCCTTCTTGCATTTCCTTTTTGTTTCCAGAACTTTTTAAATTTTAAGTTCCAGGGTACATGTGCAGGATATGCATGTTTGTTACACAGGTAAACGTGTGCCATGGTGGTTTGCTGCACCTATCAACCCTTTACCTAGGTATTAAGCCCAGCATTCATTAGCTATTTTTCCTGATGCTCTCCCTTGCCCTACCCTCCCCTGACAAGCCCCAGTGTGTGTTGTTCCCCTCCCTGTGTCCATCTGTTCTCACTGTTCAGCTCCCACTTATAAGTGAGAACATGCAGTGTTTGGTTTTCTGTTCCTACATTAGTTTGCTGAGAATAATGGCTTCCAGCTCCATCCATGTCCCTGCCAAGGACATGATCTCATTTCTTTTTATGACTGCATAATATTCCATGGTATATATGTATCACATTTTCTTTATCCAGACTATCATTCATGGACATTTGGGTTGATTCCATGCTATCAAAAAAGAGCTCATATAGCCAAGACAATCCTAAGCAAAAAGAACAAAGCTGGAGGCCTCAGGCTACCTGACTTCAAACTATATCACAAGGCTACAATAACCAAAACAGCATGGTACTGGTACAAAAACAGGCACATAGACCAATGGAAGAGAATAGAAAACTCAGAAATAAAACCACGTATCTACAACCATCTGGTCTTCCACAAACCTTACAAAACAACTTCAATTAACCATTCTTTAAGGTTCTCTGCTAGCCACAAATTATCTTAATTTTCATTGATTAGAGAATGTCTATTTCCCCTTCATTCCTAAAGGAAACATCTACTGGATATGTAATTCATCTTGACAAATGTTCTGCCCCAACCTTCTGGCTTCCTTATTTTCACATAAGAAGTCTGCTACAATTCAACTCAATTTTGCCCTGTAGGTGATGTGTCATTTCTCCATACCTGCTTTCAAGATTTTTTTCTTTTCATTTTAAAAGTTAACTTATAATGTATCTTTGCATGGATTTCTCTAGGTTTGTCTTACTTGGGAATCGCTCAGTTATCTTCACTCTGCAGATGTGTCTTTCACCACATGTGGGGAGTTTTAGCAATTACTTCTTAAAATACTATTCAGCCCCACTCTCTTTTTCCATTCCTTCTGAAATTTTGATGATACAAATATTAGATCTTCTGTTACTACACCATAGGTCCTGGAGGCTCTGTCCTTTTTCCTGTGATTTTCTCTCAATTTAGATTGGGAGATTTCTATTGTTCTGTCTTCAAGAGCACTGATTGCTTCCTCTGTAATATTCACTCTGCTACCAAGTCCACTTATTAAATTTTAATTTCAGTTATTGTATTTTTCAGTTCTATAATCACCAAGTTGTTCTTTCTTTTTTTTTTTTTTTTGAGACGGAGTTTCGCTCTGTCGCCCAGGCTGGAGTGCAGTGGTGCGATCTCGACTCACTGCAAGCTCCGCCTCCCGGGTTCACGCCATTCTCCTGCCTCAGCCTCCCGCGTAGCTGGGACTACAGGCGCGCACCACCATGCCCGGGTAATTTTTGTATTTTTAGTAGAGACGGGGTTTCACCGTGTTAGCCAGGATGGTCTCGATCTCCTGACCTCGTGATCCACCCGTCTCGGCCTCCCAAAGTGCTGGGATTACAGGCGTGAGCCACCGTGCCCGGCCAAGTTGTTCTTTCTTAAAAAAAAAAAATTCTGTGGTGAGCTTTTATAGCCTTTTCATTTGCTTCCAGAGTATTTAAAACTGCTCATTGAAGTGTGTTTATGATGACTGCTTTAAAAACCTTGTCACATAATCCCCACATCCTATTCATCTCAGTGTTGACATCTGTTGACTGTCTTTTCTCATTCAAGTTGTTATTTTCTTCATTCTTGCTATGATGAGTGGTTTTTCTACTGTGTCCAGTACATTTTTATATTATGTTAGAGACTGTGGATCCTCTTTTAAATTTCTATTTCAGCAGAGAGTCACTTTGTTTTTAGGTTTATCACGCAAGTCCTGGCCTACTTCTGTTTGCTATAGTTACAATGACAGTTTAGTTTTCAGAGCCTTTGCAGTGCTAGTGCTATTCTGGTCAGCTTGATTCATCTGGTGCCCTGGTGCTCCGTCTCAGCCCCAAATCATGCTACCAATGTAGGAAGAATGTACTTCCCATGTCGTGTTGCCATGAGGTGGAGGGTGAGAGACACCAGGATTGTGGGCTAGGAGGTCGGTAAAGAGCAGAGGGCTCCTTCCTGGGCTGCCTAGTCCTAGCAGGGCACCTGTTAGATCCCTGCTGCTGCTACCTGCATGGGAAGCCTTCTTGGAGGGAATAGTAGATACCAGACCCACAGCATGGAGAGCATTTCCCTGGACCCTCTTTCTGAGTGTCTTCTGCCACTGGATGGAGTTTCAGGAGATGGCAGCCTGTGGTGTTTTTCTGTGAGTTCTGAGGTACCTAACTAGTTTGCCTTTCTATAGCATTATGCTGGGATTGGAGCTATAGTTATGAAATCATGATTTCATACACACACACGTGTGCACATACGTGCAGTGAAAGGGCCTAGAAACAAGGACACACTGGCAGTAATGAGTGCACATACCACTCAGGTCTTGGTTTCCAAATACCATTCTCCTCTAAAAGGAAGCAGGGCTCCTTGGAAAAATGGCTGATTCCAAGGCTAGCACAAGGAAAATCAAGAAAAGCCTGGAGCATTATAAATTTATAAAGACATGTCAAAAAGACATCCAGCTTAGGAACATTCAAAATGGCTAGGCCTGGAACTGATATTTGTGTATAACATACGGTTTTTCTCATATAGATAGACTATTCCAGCATCATTTAGTGAAAAGTGACCTGCAAGACAATCTTGCTGAAATTGCTTTGAATCTGAACATCAACTGGGGAGAACTGAATTACATGAAACTTCATACATATAAATGTGTTTTATTTTTCTATTTATATCTTAGAAATTTTAAAATAAATTTCCCCATACAAATACTGTATGTATTTTGTTAGATTCATTCAGATCCTATGCATTTTTCTAATACATAAGGCATATTTAAAAAAATATGTTTTCTGTGTGTTGCCAAAGAATAGAAATGCAATTGATTTTTTAATATTAAACTTATATCTAGCCATGGTATTGAATTCTTCTAATTTCTAATAATTTGTCTGTCAATCATTTTATTCTTTCTAGGTAAATATGATACTATAATAAATTTTGCTTCTTTCTGTTTCTTTCCTTTTCCTATTATTTACTTTTCTTGCATTACTAGGCTACTTTGGACCTTTAATAAAATGTGAAAAAGCACATTTATCTTTATATTGATTTTAAACAGAACACTCTAAATACCTTATTATCGGTAAGACTAATGACTGCTGAAGAATTTTACTGGGTTGAGAAAACTGTTATTTATATTGTGTTAAATGTTTTCATTATAAATGGGTGTTCAATTATATCAATTTTATTTTCTGCATCTAATGGGATGATCATAAGACATTTTTCTCTTTTAATCTCTTAGTATGATAATTTACATTTTTGGATTTTCCAGAAACATCTTTGGATTCCTAGAATAAGCCAGATTTATCACAAGTGGATTATCTTTATCAGATATATGGCTGCTCTTGAGTTACTAATCTTTTACACTTTTGTGTGTAAGGAATGTTTTTAATCTAGGTGAAATTTTGAATCTATGCTCATGAGTAAGAATATCCTTTCTCATACTATCCTTATCTGGCCTTAGTACTGAGCTTTAGATTATCTTGGAGGTTTCATTTCCCTTCTTGTAATGATTCTCATGCCTCATGGTGCACACAAAGTTCCCCTTTGTAAATTTTGTAAATTTCAGCATGCGCTCAATTCAATAATTACTTTGTCACCAAAAATTGGCGTCTCCCATTAAACAGTGAATTTGCTTCTATTGACGTTAAACTCTAAAATGAATCACTTAGATCTAAAAATACCTTCCTTGTTCAGGTTGTGTGTAATAAATACTTATTTTTGCCAAAGATATACAGAGCTAAAAACAGAAGATAATACCTAGGGAGGCTTAAAAAACATGTAAGCTGAACATTTGGTTAAATCTCAACTTTTCCCTCCTTAGATTTTTTGTTTCTTTGATATTCTTGATTTTAAAACTTAGTCAATTCATGTTCTTTCCAGTCTACTATTGAAAATGTTGTTGAAAATGAAGACAGTTAATTTTCCTTTGAGTGCAGCCTTGGCAGAATTTTTTTTGATGTTTATGGACACACTACTATTTATTGTCATTTTTCAATAGTTTGCAACTGAAATTCTGACCTTCTTTTATTAAATTGCTCAATTTTTCTGAAGTGAAAGAATTATATATTAGAAGTGTAATGTCGATATGTGAATTTCTACAAAGCCTGCATGCCTAAGGACAGGTGGCCTGGGTAAAGAGTCAAATTGGTAGAACCAATAAAGAATAATAAAAAGACAAAAAAAGCATCATGCCATTCATTCAACAACTTAGTGGACAAATCTTTCTATATTTTCACCATAAAGGATGGGAGAATGCCTCCAACAAGGAGAAAATAGCAACTCCTTCCATTTTGTTCTCTTGTATTGTGTGTAGGAACCTACCTCCTCAACTTGTAACATTTCCAGACTTATCCTTTCAATATATAACATGTAAACATACAGTTCATTTCTTCTGTCACCCAGGGTGGAGTGCAATGGGGTAATCATGGCTCACTGTAACCTTCCAGGGCTCAAGCGATCCTCCTACCTCAGCCTCCTGAGTAGTTGGGATCACAGGCTCATGCCACCATGCCCAACTAGTTTTTCTATTTTTTGTAGAGACAGGGTTTTGCCATGTTGCCCAGGCTGGTCTCAAACTCCTGGGCTGAAGCTCTCTGTCCACGTTGGCCTCCCAAAGTGCTGTGATTATAGGCGTGAGCCAGTGTGTGTGGCCCAGGGTTTATTTTTTAATAGAAGAACATCACAGACCAGAGAAAAAGAATATTGTCTGTCTCATATTAAGAGAATTTAGGAGTTGCACTACCTGCCTAATAACTTATTTTACTAGGAAACCATGGAGGTAATATGGGCCATCCATCTGCATATTTGGGAAGAAGCCAAGCAAAAATTAGGTAGTGGCTGAATTCAAATTAGAAGGGGCTGGGAGACTGTAAGGAAAATGTTAAAAGGACAAAAGTAATAGAGTCTAAAGTTGGAAGCAGAAGGAAAGAGAGACAGATGATGGATAGATGCAGAGGAAAGAAAAGGAGAAAGCTGGCAAGAAACTACAAACTTGAGTTATGGTGAAGGGAAGGTTAACTGAAGCTAAAGAGAGAAACTCAAGACAAACACATTTTAAAAAGCAAGGCTGTATGGATATAGCAGAATGAAACACAAAGGAAGAGTGGCCTGAAAGTTAGTTGTGAAATATGTGAGCTAACTTCTTGAAAATGATTTCTAGTCCTTGCGAAGGACTATTTCCTTACATATCTATCTACCTTAGATAGTAACTATTTTTAAGACAGTAGCTATTTATTAATTATAAATCATTAGCATTTTAAAGCATATTAACTGTGTTCAGTTTATAGAAATAAAAAGTAGAATTTAAATAAACTGCATTAAAAACATTGAATCTTACCCAGCAGTTGAGTTTAGATACTCCCAGTTTTTGAATTTCATTTCTCTTTAGAATTATTGCCTAAAATGCACATAAGGGAAAATGAAACAATTCAACACAATTAACATTTATATTTTGTATAAATGGTACATTTCAAAAATTATATAGCCACCCTGTTCCATCTCAGCTATCACCAGCCATTTTCCTCCTTAACTGTTGATTTTTCAAATTTTGGACAAATTTTGGCAAATTTCCTTGAGGTGAGAGTTAAATGGTTTGTGTGTCAAAAAGTTGCCTCGTTATTTCCTCACTTAAATACCCTGGCCATTTTCTGCAGGATAATTCCTCTACAAAGATAAATGGTATGTGAGCAGATGAGAGCATCCATGCAAGTCTGTATGTCAGTTATCCAGCAACGTTAGTGAACTAAACTAACATGAAAATCCTTCCTCTCCAAACTGCCGAATAAAATATTTAAACATGTTTAAAAAATTTATACTCATGTGAAAGAGAACTTCTCCGATGCTAGAAAAAAGATTATTTTTAAAAAATACAGTATTAATCAGCAGAGAAGCACCACCCCTGGCAGTCTTTATAAAGGCCTGTAGAATAAGGTTCCAACTATAGGCTTGTATTGTAAGGGGAGGGCAGCAGAAGAGGCCTTGGGTCTATGCAAGGTAAGAAGTTGGAATTGAGACTAATACATAAAGCTAGGGTCCTCAAAACTATACCTGCAGTGCTATGAACTGAGTATTTGTGTCCACCTCAAATTCACAGACTGAATCTTTAATCCCCAGTGTGATAGTGCTTGGAGGGTGGGCCTCTGGGAAGTAATTGAGTCATGAGGGTGAAACCCTCATGAATGGGATTAGTGTGCCCGTATTACAAAAACTAGAGAGTTGATGTCTCTCTCTACCATGTGAGGACACAGCAAAAAGGCTTCTGTCTGCAAACCACAAAAAGGGCTTTCACCAAGAACCAAATCAGCTGGCACCTTGATTTCTGAACTGCTCAGCCTCCAGAACTCTGAGAAATAAATTCCTGTTGTTTAAGCCATCCTGTCTGTGGTACTTTTGTTATAACAGCCCAAACTGACTAAGACACACAGTGACTAAGAATACTTCACCTACCATCTCTACAAGTTGATAGGTTATTTGTTTATTCCCAAGTTTGGGGTGAAAACAGTGCGCTCATGAGAAACTGAATTCTTCGACTTGCGTATTATTTAGACTTAGATTCCAATTTTTTATCATTTAGTTGGTGAAGAAATTCCCAAAGTGAGCCAGGATTACTAAACTTCCAATAGGAAAATATAAATGTATCAGATTATTCATTGCAACATTGTTTGTAAATGCAAAAGTTAGGCAACAACCTAAATGCCCAGACATAGGAGAGTGACTGAATTACAGTAAATCCACAGTAGAACACTAGGAAGCTACCAGAAAGAATGAGGAAAATCTCTATGAACTGATATCCAGGATAGGCTGTTAAATGAAAAAAAAAAAAAAAAGGGGAAAAGGCTATCTTTAATATAAGAAGAGGAGATATAAAAAATATACATGTAACAGTTATTAGTACTTCAAAAAGCCAACTAAATGGGTCAACCAGAAAACTAATGAGATTTCTTACCTACAGGGAATAGGCAGTAACAGGGTGAAAAGAAAGGTGGAGAGAATGTGCTGGAAGGAATAGTGGGAAGTATTTTCTGAGTATAATTTTATATATATCTTCCTCATTGAAACATGGTAATGTTTCACCCAAAGTAACTAAAATCAATCAGAATGAAACTTCTGCTTCTGTCCAAGTTTGTATAACAGGAACCACATTTACTTTCTCACCCTAAAAAACTAAAATACCAAGCAAAATAGATTATAGAGACAACTATGAACAATTATATGCCAACAAATTAGATAACTTATAAGAAATAAATTTCTAGAAACATACAACCTACCAAGAGTAAATTATGAAAACACAAAAAAACTCAACAGATCTATAACTAATAAGGAGATTAAATCAGTAATAAAAATTTTCTCAACAAAGGAAAACCTCGAACCAGATGGCTTCACTGGAGAATTCTATGAAACATTTAAATAAGAATTCACACCAATCCTTCTCAAGCTCTTCCAAATAACTGAAGAGAACACTTCTATACACATTTTATGAGGCCAGCATTACTCTGATACCAAATCCAGAAAAAGATACAAGAAAACTACAGGCCAGTATCTCTGATGAATATAGCAAAACACACACACACACACACACACACACACACACACACACACACACACACAAATATTTCTTTTAAAAATGAGCAAAGCACTTGAATAAACATTTCTCCAAAGAATAAATACAAATGTCCAACAGGTATTTAAAATGATGTTCAACATCACTTATCATCAGGGAAATGTAAATCAAAACCACAATGAGATACCACCTCAAACCTGTTAGGATGGCCATTATAAAACAAAACAAACCAAAACTAAACCAGAAGTAACAAGTCTTCGCAAAAATGTAGAAAAATTGGAATGCTTATGCACTGTTGGTGGGAATATAAAATAGTGCAGCCAAAGGGCACATCGGGTAGTCTACACAGAAGAGTTTGCTTCAGAGAGCAGCAATATTAGCCATAAACTAACTAGTACTTTAATTCCAGCTAACAAATCTTAAAAGCAAGACCTGAAAAGATCAGCCTATGTTCAAGTGGCTTAACTGCATCACAGAAAAAAGCTCAAGAATATCTATAGGAATAAGAAAATAATCCAGCAGCTAACAAGGTAAAAGTCACAAAGCCTGGCATCAAAGTAAACATTGCCAAGCATGCAAACACTTAAGAAAACACAACCCCGATATGAGAAGAAGAAACAATTAATTGAAACTGACACAGATGACAGAATTAGCAGGTGGAGGCACTGAGGCAGTTAGTATAACTGTATTACACATGGTGAAGAAGTGGTAACAGAGAAAGAACATGTTAACTAGAGACACAAAAATACTTCAAAGATCCAAAATGAACTTTTAGATATGAAAACTACAGTGACTTAAAAGAGAAATACACTGGATGTGATTAACAACAGGTTAGATACTGCAGAAAAACAACTAGTGAACTCTTGAAGACACAGCAATAGTAACTATCCAAAATTAAATAAATAACAAAAATAAACATAGGCTCCATGAACCACTGAACAATTTCAAGCAGGCCAATATACATGTAATGAGAGTCCCTAAATGAAAGTGAGGTGGGGAGGCAGAAAAATATTTGAAGAAATAATGGCCAAAATTTTTCCAAATTTGATAAAAATTGTAAACCTAAAGATCTAAGAATTTCAATTAATCCTAAATACAAGAAACATAAAGAAAGCTATAGTAAGGCACATTATATAAACAAACTGCTCAAAATCAGTGGTAAAGAGAAAATCTTATTTCTAGCTAGGAATAGCTAGAGAAGTAACATATTATTTATAGACAAAAGCGTAGAGATGTCAACAGATTTCATAAGAAAAAAAATGCAAACAACAAGACAAGTCAAGCAGCATCTTTTAAATTCTTAAAGAAAAGTGCTGTTAACCTGCAATTCTACACCCAGGAAACATACCTTTCGAAAACGAAGGCAAAATAAAGACTTCATGACCAGGTGATTTGCACTAAAGGAAACGTTAAAGGAGGTCTTTCAGACAGCAAGAATACAGTAGGTCAATCTGGCTGTACACAAGTAAAAGGCACCGAAAATGGTAACTACAGGGTAAATATATAACATTTTAAAAATTTTAAATACTTTTAAAAGGTAATTTACTGTTTAAATAAAAACAAAAATTTATTGAGATTTCTATATCACATGTTTAAGTAAAATGTATGACAATAACATGAAATAAATTTAAAAATGTACTTTATCAAAATATGTGGGATGTTGATAAAGCAGTACTTTGAGAAAAGTTTATAGCACTAAACACCTGTGTTTAAAAACAAAAAACAAAAAACAGGAAAGGTCTCAAGTCAATGACCTTGCTTTATACCTTTAAAA
Source organism: Homo sapiens (assembly GCF_000001405.40). Taxonomy (NCBI): domain Eukaryota; kingdom Metazoa; phylum Chordata; class Mammalia; order Primates; family Hominidae; genus Homo; species Homo sapiens. Next base: position 12,996 of record NT_187559.1, on the reverse strand, counting down.
AAAAGAAAAAGACTAGAAAAAAAGCAGAGCAAAACCCAAAGTAAGCAAAAGAAATGAGGTAACAAAGACTGAGTAGAAATCAATGAAACAGTAGAGCAAATCAATGAAAACAAAAGCTGGTTCCTTGAGAAAATTAATAAAATTGATATACCTCTAACCAGACTGATGAGAAAAAAAAATAGAACACAAACATCTAATACCAGGAATGAAAGAGGAACTATCACTACAGATACTATAGATACATAAAAGAAATAAAATATTATGCCTTTGTCAATGAATTTGACATCGTAAATAAAATAAAAAAATTCCTTGAAAGATACAACAAAAGTTCACTCAAGAGGAAATGGATAACACGAATAGCCTTATACCTTATTAATGAAATGGAACTTGTAGTTAAAAACATTCCTACAAAGAAAGTCCTAGATGGTTTCACTGGTAAATTCTACCAAATATTTAGGGAAGAAATCCTAAGGATTTTACACAAATTCTTCAGAAAACTGGAGAAGAGGGAACACTTCTTAACTCATTTTATGAGGCCAGCATTGCCATGATACCAAAAAAGACAAAGATGTCACAAGAAAACTATGAACCAATTATTGTCATGCACTTAGGTGCAAAATCGTAAGTACAATTTTAGAAAGCTGTATTCAACAAAAAATAATAAAACAGCATGACCAAAGTGAGGTCTATTCAAGGAATGCAAAGATGCTATAACATTTGAAAATCAACCAATATAATGCAGCACATTAACAAAACAGAAAAGAGAAACTATATGATATATCTTCAAAATTCATTTTTGAAAAAACTCAGCAAGCTGAACAGAAGGGAACTTCTTTAACCTGATAAAGGGCTTCTCTGAAAAATCCTATAGCTAACACAGTTACTGAAGGATGAAAGACTGAACAATTAAACAAAACTTACATTTCAAAATGAGCCATTTAAAATAAGATATTTAAAAATACTAAAATATGTGAAAGAATGACATAAATCAAAATCAGAAAAACTGAGAAATGAGCTGACAGAAATCAAATAATTTGAAATAAAACAAAAATAATTTCAGACATAAAAAACTAGAAGGAATATGAGGAAATGAACACAACAATAATGCCTTAAGAGCTATAAAAGGTGAAGAGAAGAAACTTTTAGAAATAAAAAAAGAAATAAAAGTATTCAAGAGAAAGTGATACGTTTATAACGTATCAAAACTTGTAACACTTTTAATAGCAACCCTTTTGGACAGAAGTAAAACAAGTACTCAAAGCAAAAAATAAAAGAGACAGCCGGGTGTGGTGGCTCACACCTGTAATCCCAGCACTTGGGAGGCAGAGGCGGGCAGATCACCTGAGGTCAGGAGTTCGAGACCAGCCTGGCCAACATGGTGACACCCCGTCTCTACTAAAAATACAAAAATTAGCTGGGCGTGGTGGCAGGCGCCTGTAATCCCAGCTACACGGGAGGCTGAGGCAAGAGAATCTCTTGAACCCAGGAGTTGGAGGTTGCAGTGAGCCAAGACTGCACCATTGCACTCCAGCCTGGGCAACAAGAGCGAAACTCCGTCTCAAAAAAAAAAAAAAAAAAGAAGAAAAGAAAGAAAAAGTAAAAATAAAAGAGACAAGAATTTTACATAGAGCCAACTTCACTTTCAAGTAAAAGGCGACAAAACAAACTGTGACAAACACATCAGAATTGAAGGAATTCTCTTGTAGAACAAGACTAAAATAACCAAGATAACTAGGAGATAACAACATAAAGACTGGTGATAAATAAATGCATATTTACTCACATAAAAACATGAAATAAGGTTGATAAGGCAGAAAGTACAGTATGCAATACTCTATGTTCTGACAATATAGATACAGAATTAGTTAAAAAAAATGGGTGAAGAGAATGAAAGAAGGATATGCAAAAAAGTCTTTATTTCTCATAATCATGTGCGTGGTGCAGTATAGCAATTCTCATGCATACACTTTGGGAGAAGGCAAATGGATATATGATATTCTATCATCCCCTGGCTTCTTGAGACCCAAGAGAAACAAAAAAAACAAATACAGGATAGAAAGAGTTAAGTAAAAACCCTATATTCTTGAATTTGATTTGGAAATACCCATCAGAACTTGTGAGCTAGTTTACCATAAATGCATGCACACACACACATGCACACACACATATTTTCATGGTAGATTTTTAAAGAAAAAGAGAGAGCCTGCAACCTATAATATTTCCTAGCTCTGCCCACTAATAAGGCCTAGAAACAATGACCTACTCAGTAGCAATGAGCATCCTTGGGTCCCAGACTGCAGTCTTAAAACACGATTTCCCCAATAAAGGCAAGAAGGGTGCCTTGCAGGAATGGCTTCCTCCAGGTTTTGGGCAGGAGTACACAAGAGAGACCTGGAAAAACTTGTCATACATGACACAAGTATGCTATCAGACCACCAGTGTCATGTCAGAGAACTTAGGAGAAACCTAAAGAGGCTCCCCTGGTCAACAAAGAAACAATCTGAGAATGAGTAAAGATATTAACTTCAATTAACTTGAAATACATCAAAAATGCTTAAATCCCTATGTTCCTAATGAAACCTAAACACACACATACACAGCCCAAAGAGCCCACATTTGGAAGATGACAGGGAATCAATTCATTATTTTTAAAACTTGCAAATAAAGAGGTAAATCAACATTTACTTTACTTCTCCTAAATGAACTTCAGATGACAGATTAGAACGTGACCACTTTGCAATCCCTAATGAATTAACAGATCCAGCATAAGGCACTGAAGGCTAGTACCATGAAGAGAGACATCATGTGCCTTTTAATGAAAGAACAATACTAAAGACTTGCAAAAGTGATCAAGCCTGAAGCAATCCAAGTTTCAGATCCAATTTCTAATATATCAAGCTATACCATGAGACAAAGAAACATGCTTAGCTACACCACAAGAACTCAAAAAGCAAAATCTGGACCATGAAATCCTCCACATGTTCTATGACTGTGGTTCTTCAACAAATAAATTTCATGAGGATAAAACCAGGCAGATATGCAGGAAACTTGTAGCTAAAAAGAGAAACTTAAGTGATGAAACTATAAAGGGATGCTGGAAAGTTACTATCACAGCAGTCAAGATAGTCATTATCGTTTTAGGGCAGTACAAGAGAGTGCTTTGGGACAGGTCACATGGAGGCTTCTACACTCATTTAGAAAGTTACAATTTTGATATAATGGTAGTTTAAGAATGTTTGCCACATAATACATAACACAGTCAGCCCTCCACATCCATGGGTTCCAGTTGCTGCAGATTCAACCAACAGCAGATAGAAAATATTTGAAATAATAATAATACAACAGTTTAAAAAGTACAAATGAAAAAACAATACAGTATACAACTATTTGCATAGTATTTATATTGCATTAGACGTTATAAGTAATCTAGAGATGATTTAAAGTATATAGGAAGATGTGCATAGATTATATGCAAATAACACACCATTTTATATAAGAAACTTGAACATCTGCAGATTTTAGTATCCACAGGGGTTGGGGGTGTCCTGGAATCAATCCCTGCAGACACGAAGGGGACATTGTACTCATCAGTATTAGCCAGCACTAAGTCAGCACACAAAACATTTGCTTTATGCAGTTTTATCTGTACTATATTTCAAAATAAAAAAAAGTTTTCATTAAAAGAGGTAGATGAGCACACTATTAGGAGTCCTCTACTCTGTAATGGTGAAATAGTTTGACAAAATGTTGGAAAGAAAGAGCATTTTTTCTGGGAGAGAAAGAGGAGGGATTACTATGAGGGAAAAAGGATATGGAAAGCAAAAATGTTAAAACATAAGGGCAATCCCAAAAGATTAAATCACTGCACCATACATGGAAAAGTGCTATATTTTGGCATTACCGTAGTTGGTATCATTTCTGATCAGTGTGGAGATGGGAGGTACAGGAGAATATTCTAGGTTCTGGCTTATAGATATCAGAAGTATAACTACAATGTAATAGAACTGACTTACTAAACCACCCTTCCAAACACATATCCAAAAGAGTGTCATTCCATGTAGTTCCCGTGAGGAGACTGCACACTTATTCTAATTATCTTGCCATCGCTCAAAGTAGTTTGGAACTACACTTTCTAAACTGCCTTCAGAAATAATTTAGTTATAGGTGCAAAATAATCAGTCTTATGACTTTACTGTCACACCATCGTTTGAGCAAGATCTGTATTACCCAGCCCAATCACACAAAATATTCACAAAATTTTGGTCATTTCCAAAAATCAAATCCACTCTTGAAAGGCAAGACATACTAAAGAATGTGCCATAGTCTGTGAAGGAAACTCAGAGGAGTTCCAAAAATGTTCTGGGCAATGGCAGTGTCACTGCAATGAGTATTTAACCTCCTCAAGTGACTTAGGAGAAAAGAAGTCAATTTTACCATAAAATGGGATATGATTAAAGTAAGTCTTATTACTTTATGATCATTTTTAAATATTTACTTGGGCACTGTCTTAAAAAGAAAAACTTCCTACTATAATATTTTTCAAGGATAAGATAAATAAAAAGCTTTGCTTGGGAAGAATTTTGTCATGTTGAGTGATAATCAGGAAAGGGCCTATTTATTCTCTTATACCTGTTTTAGACAGGAAAACATGCTATTTGGCAGTTTAAAAAAACCCAACTTTATGAACTAAACACTTACCCATGTCATTAACAAAGATGAAGAATAATAAGAAGATAAGTACATTGAATTTCCAAACATCAAAATGAAACTAAGGGTAACTGAAATCTGAAAAAAATGAAAAAAATACATTTTATGGTCATTACATATATTGGCATAATGCATATTTTGTAGGTATATAGCCATTTCTAATGCAAATTTATTTGCATAAAGATGAATGACCCTTGGCCAAATGATAATAGAACTTCAAGTCACTGCTAGATTCTAAGTATGAAAATTCAAGACCATAAACTCTATCTGGCAGAATTTAACTTTTTCTCCATCTGCTACTTGGAACAATGAAAAATAAGTCTATGATTTCTATTGTTTTAACAATGGAGTAATATAATAAGAAAGACTTAGTTATAAACACCAGTTTTACTAATCATATTTTTGTTAGACTTCAGGACTTCTATTATTTATGGAGCTTTACTAACTTTTTATGTTTCTAAGGAAGCTATGTTTGGGACCTAAGCCAAAAACAAAATCGCAAGAATATAAAATTTCAGTTAGAGTGTCATATTCAGGCAAAATGCTAAAAATCTCATGTCTGAGAAAGAAAAGGCAGTTTTAAAAGTAGTAATAATAATAAGTAAAACATAAAAATATAAGTTCTAGAGAATAAAACACATCTACAGTCCAGTTGAAAGAATAATCTGTTATAATATGTCATCTATAATATACATTTCCAGTTTTCCTTCTGGATATCACCAATACCATATGTATTAAATATTACCAAAGAGGAAGTACCCTATAAAACAGAATCACTTCGATTTTATAAACTCTGAGAACCTATCTTAATATTTGACTTATATATATTAAAAATGTTACCATGTTCATATAAATGATCTTCTGAAATTTGCTTGGTTCAATGTATCCCACAACATACATGGGAAATAATGATGCTATCTGAAATAATATAAAAAAGCAAAAGTGAAAAAAAGTATAGAAAATTAACACTTTACTATTCACAGGCAAAGTAAATATAAGAGGAGGGCTACAGTTCTAATAATGGTAAGCAAAGGAATTTGAACCAACCTTCCCACTAAGAACTAGAATGGCTAGGAAAAATATAAATATATAAATAAAAACATTTTTAAAATATGTATAAAAGCCACAGACTATTAACAAAGCAAATGAGGAATTAAAAAGATAGATGGCAATCTATACCAATGAGCATGACATTTTGGGCCACTTTTCTCCCAGAGGTATCTGCCAATTTCAACAGAGGCAGATGCCTGCCAGCTGAGAGGCAGTTGGAAGACCAACAAGCTGAGCAGGCATTTCAGCAGATTCAGCAGTCAGAGTGCACCAAGAAGGGTGCTTTAGTTTGGAGTTTCAAAAGGCCATACTGTAATAGTGAACCAGAAATCAAGCAGCCCTCAGAAAGACTGAAACGCATCTACGGATCATCTCAATCTGATTGCATAAAGGTGGTTCAAGATTTATTAGTGCTTTTTACTCGCCTCTCCAATTTTTCATATATAATGTCCAGCACCACATCAAAAATAACCCAGCATAGATGGAGATAAGACACTATCACTAACACAATAGAAATAGATCCACAAAAGATTTAGATCAGGGATCAGCACATTTATTATATAAAAGGCCAGATAATAAATATGTTATGCTTTGTTGGTCACATACAGTCTCTTGTATATTCTTTTTCTATTTTTGTTCTATAACCCTCTAAATATATAAAAACTATTCTTAGCTTGGAGATCACTCAAACACTTCTCTGGCATAATCAGATATATCTTCAAACTATGCTTCAAATGTTCAAGGAAATAACTGATAAGATTGAAAATTCCAGGAGAGCACAGAAGTCATAAAAAAAAAAAATTGGGCCAGGCATGGTGGCTCACGCCTATAATCCCAGCATTTTGGGAGGCCAAGATAGGAGGACGGCTTGAGCCCAGGAGTTCAAGAGCAGCCTGGGCAAGATGGTGATACCTCATCCCTACAAAAAATTAAAAAATTAACCAGATGTGGTTGCACAATGAACTAATTTTAACCTTAATCTACGAAAAACACAATTAAGAATAAAATCTTAAAGTACTCCCAGAAAATAACATTGAATTATCCCTCTGTAAGCATGAAACACACACATACAAAAAAAACTATACACATTAGTAAAGAAAAATAAAAGCCTAGTATATATCCAGAGAATGACTAGGAAATCATTAACAGCAATATCAAACTTACCCAATAACTTCTTTTTTTTTTTTTTTAAACTGAGTCTCACTCTGTCACCCAGGCTGGAGTGCAGTAGCGTGATCTCGGCTCACTGCAACCTCCACCTCCTGGGTTCAAGCAATTCTCTGCCTCAGCCTCCCAAGATTACAGGAGCCCACCACCATGCTCGGCTAATTTTTTTGTATTTTTAGTAGAGATGGGGTTTCACCATCTTGGCCAGGCTGGTCTTGAACTCCTGACCTCAAGTGATCCACCCGCCTCAGCCTCCCAAAGTTCTGGGATTACAGGCGTGAGCCATCGCGCCCGGCCCCAAAGAGCTTCTTAGTTTCATCAGTATCACTGGATTAATAAATTTGCTTGCAATGAAATGATGGTCATTAAAAATCTATTCCACTCTGTTGGCATGTGCAAATAATGAAAAACATAGAATAATGTCTGTGTTATAACCTGAAAGGGGCCAACTATTATGAAGTAAAACAGAGGGAATACTTTAAATATGCAGCACCAATTGAGCTGGGGTTATAATTTCATTCTTTGTAGGCTATTGGCAGCATGAGACTTCTTGGCAGAATTTCTCACTTCCAATATAGAATATTATTATTATCATCAGCATTTGTTATGTAGGAAGGAGCTCTGATGGAAAATCTTAGTATCATGAAATGTCATCAAAATTCTCCATTTACTCTCTGCTTCCCCAGTTCAGTTTCTTGTTACTAGTTATGTAGTTGCTTTAGAAACAGGATATGGGCTCAGCTCACTTAAGCAATGATGAGCTTTATGATTAAAGCTCGCAGAAACGGTGCCAGGTAAAATTCTGCTCCACAGATAAAACAGCCAACGTTTAGCTGGATTAGAAGCAGAACGTCCTGCTGTCAAGAGTAGGATTGGCCCTTAGCATGCTGTGTAGCTTGGCACCCAGAAGGATTCCCAGGACAAAAGGAAAATCTCTAGGTAGATATATACAGATATTATCTCAAACACCAAAAATAACATTTGTGAATAAAAATAATAGAAAAACTCTTTCACATGTTGAGCCTTAAAATCTGTCAAACTAATCAATATAGTAAAAGAATGTGGAATTATATTATTTCATAAAAATCATACCTTTAAGTAAACTTTATTTCCTATTTTGAAAATCTTTTAGGGCGTAAATGTAACCATATTTAAAAATTTCTATGGAAACAACCAAGTACATCTTGCATTCAATTTAATTAATATATGCAAAGGAATATAAATCCTTCTATTACAAAGACATGTGCACCCATGTCTTCGCTGCAGCACTATTCACAATAGCAAAGACATGGAATTAACCCAAACGCCCATCAGTGAAAGACTGGATAAAGAAAATGTGGCACATATACACCATGGAATACTACGTAGCCATAAAAAGGAACAAGATCAGGTCCTTTGCAGGGACATGAATGGAGCTGGAGGCCATTATCCTCAGCAACAGGAACAGAAAACCAAACACCACATGTTCTCACTTATAAGTGGGAGCTGAACAATGAGAATACATGGACACAGGGAGAGGAACAACACACACTGGGGCCTGTCAAGGGATGGGGTGGGGAAAACATTAGGAAAAACAGCTAATGCATGCTGGGCTTAATACCTAGGTGATGGGTTGATAGATGCAAAAACCACCATGGCATACATTTACCTACGTAACAAACCTGTACATCCCGCACATGTACCCCAGAACTTAAAATAAAAATAAAAATTAATTTAAAAAATCATCTTACCTGTGTAAAAAGTATAAACTGAGCAAATTGCCAGGGAAGCATAAAAGCAACATTGGAAAGACAGAGTGCAATGAAGGGCCTTCTATCATTGCTTGAGGTCCTTAATAGAGAGAATTGATACCAGTAAGTTTCACCCTAAAAATGGGCTGTCGCTGAAAAGAAAGACTAATAGCAAAATGATAAAATCTACATTATTCCATTACCTTTACTATAATACAACAAAATATAGTTAACTTTGTAAAGTATACTAAAAAGAACTTGAAATACTTCATTCCTTGCATGAAGCAATCAAAATTAGAGTTTTAAAATTAACATTGTAATTTACCATTAAATATTTTAAATACAAAAGCTCTTTTTCCTCTACATATGCATGACATTAGAAATTTATTACTCCAGCAAGGAGGTCAGAAAATAGGATGTGGTGCTGTCCCTGCACACCTCAACATGCTTCTCCTGTATGTGTAGCAACAACTTTTATATACCACCACTTTTGTGCTTCAAAAAACATTGAAGAGAAATGTAAGTGCTGACAAAGTAATAAGTTAAAAACTATGGGAAAAATTTAAGGAAAAGGAATCTTAAAAAATTAAAAAATCATTCTAGAATTCAGCTGAAGCATGTGGAAGTTTAAATTGTCCATTCTGCATTACTGAGATGTATTGGGAACCAATACCTTTTACCACAGAGAATTACAGTAACTTTTAGATATGAAAAAAGAAACACAAACATTTTACATAAATAATAAAACTGTAACTCTTCCTTTTATAAATTCTGTACTGGATTTTGATGAATCTTTGTACAATCATATATAAATTTTCAAAAACAAAATTCTAAATGTTCATATTGCTTACTAATCTTATCATAAAATACTCATTATGTACTTTGTAATCTTATATTTTTCAAACAAAAATTACTTTTGACTAAGACACAGAGTATAGCACATGCCCTCAATGATACAACCCTAAATATTCTAATTAAGACATTTTATTCCATGAAACCCCTGACTGACCAGACTGATATCACTTCAAAAAAATAAAAATAACCCACCTTTCTAGGAATTAAACTGGGAATGAGTAGCAAGGGGTGATGAAGAATGGGCAGCTTCCATCACCTAATCTTTGAGAGAAGGCAAAGTGTAGAGCAAAGATATAGAAATCTCAGTGAGGAGGAGGTTCCTAAATCCAAATTCAACCCCAGAATATACTTGTCAGGTTGGTAAGAAATCAGAAGTTGGCCTGCTCCATTCTCAAGGTTTGTGCCACCCCAGTACACTACTATTTACCACCCTTCAATTAGCTTTATCTGAGTGCCACAAATATTTGCATGGACGTGTGCAGTGTTCTGTGGTTAAAGAGATAAATATGGCATGGTCCCTGTTTAAAAGTACAGTGGTACTTTTAAATACATGTAATTGGCCAGGCACAGTGGCTCACACCTGTAATCCCAGCACTTAGGGAGGCTGAAGCGGGTGGATCACTTGAGGTCAGGAGTTCGAGACCAGCCTGGCCAACATGGTAAAACCCTGCCTCTACTAAAAATACAAAAATTAGCTGGGGATGGTGGCGTGCACCTATAATCCCAGCTACTTGGGAGGCTGAGGCAGGAGAATCGCTTGAACCTGGGAAGCAGAGGTTGCAGTGAGCAGATCGTGCCACTGCACTCCAGCCTGGGTGACAGAGCAAGACCTCATCTCTAAATAAATAAATAAAAATTTGTGTATTGTGGAAGATTCATAAATTTACTGTTTTAAAAAACAAGGAAGACAAACAAATGATTTTTATAGAAGGCAGAATCTCCCAGGGACTAGTAGGTGAAGAATGGGGTCCTCTGGGAGTTTGGAGGAGATAGTGATCATTATTTCATTCAGTGAGAGTTCTCATTAGTATTCTATCAAACTTATTTCTCTGATAAGGTTATTTATACTATTCTACCACTTATGGGGTTTTTTGTTCATTTCTCAGACCTCTTAAATATCTAAAATGCTTATAAATGTAATCCCTACAAAAAAAGTGTATCCAAAAAAAAAAGTTTGAAATGAAACTGGTTGTCCTGTTAGAAACATTGGTTGTTCAGAAATGCTTCATAAATATGTGAATATATATACTCCTTATCCATCTAACTCTGCATTTCCCAAATTCATTTGCACACAGAACACTTTTTTCATGGCAGTTATCAAAACCACAGGTTAGAAAACAATGTCAGAGAACTTAAACTGTGAAGAGAAAATGTAATTGTTTCTCAAAAACTTTTGAATCTTGGCAAACTATATACAAACACATACCTTTTGGTTTATTAAAACATAATGTAGTTATCTAAAACCTGTAGCCTACACTCTTAAACGGAGAGCAATTTTTACATAGCAATTTTGAATTATTTTCTTAACCCTATACTCAATTTACTTTTAAAATAACTAAAAAATGGTCTAAATTTGGTAATTACAACTTCATAGATTGAAGTATATATATGTAATATATATATTTACATTTTTTTAGAGGGAGTCTTGCTCTCTTGCCCAGGCTGGAGTGCAGTGGCACAATCTCGGCTCACTGAAACCTCCGCCTCCCGAGTTCAAGCAATTCTCCTGCCTCAGCCTCCCAAGTAGCTGGGATGGCAGATGCACACCACCATGCCCGGCTAATTTTTGTATTTTAGTAGAGATGAGGTTTCACCATGTTGGCCAGGCTGGTCTCGAACTCCTGATCTCAAGCGATCCACCCACCTCGGCCTCCCAAAGTGCTGAATTGAAGTATATTTTAAGAAACTTAAATTATAATTTATTTGCCTTTGTTTTATAAATCGAAGTTACCTGAGAATCAAAGTTAAAACATACATCTGAAGTACAAGGAAAGGATAGGAAAAACTTTCACGGAGAGGTGGTGTCCACATCACACAGGTGGCCTGAAATCAACAAAATGCCCACTTTACATCCTGTTTACTACAACAAACATATTAAAAAACGAGGGGTGAGTTTGTTTTAGTAATTTTAATACTAGGCTCACTAGATCCCATTTCTGAGTGTCTGGCATAGCTTCTCAGTTTTTGAAGCTCTCTCAACTCATGAGACCATTATGTAGTGAGCAGTTAACTACCATGTCCAGAAACCAGCTACAGATATATCAGACCGAGCAAAAGGAAGCCCAAGGGACAAACAAGATTGTACGTATAAGAGTTGTGAGAATTCTGGGACTGACCAACTAGATCCACAGCCCAGCCCTGCAGTATGATCCTGGCATATGATCCTGGCATCCCAGGCTTTGAGATATATGCATGCCAAGACAAATAGCTAAACGAATGTCACCTAGGTCATTCGCAAGCACCAAGAGAGTTTCTACATAACAAGTATGAAAGAATATAAATACACACTTCGAATAGCTACGATTGCCTCAGAATTTGTAAAATGTACCTTAAAAAAGGTTAAGTACATATTTTAAAAACAACTAGAAGTATTTGGGAACTACAAATGTGATGCATGTAATGAAAGTATTAAATTTTCAAACAAACTTTAAAATTACTTCTAAGACATATGGGTCAGAGTATTAGAAAAATTTTCCATCAAAAATTCTGAAATTCTAGAAAGAATGTGAACTCTTATTACTTTGCAAGAGTCTTAAAAGTTATTGCTTCTCTTCCAAGATACCAAAATTGTAAATGTTGGAAGAGGAATTATGATACATATAAGAAAGTCAACTTATACCAACAGTTGTCTGGAACACTCAGAGAAAAACCTTTGTCTTTAGGTCAGCACATTGTTGAATGACAATGCATTTGTTTGCTTTAAAATAATATATATAAGGCTTTTATGTATAATTTTTATGATTCCTTTATCTAACTGATTTTTAAAAATTAACCCAAGAGCAATGGATAAAAGTACTTCTGCCCTGGCTGGGCGTGGTGGCTCACGCCTGTAATCCCCAGTACTTTGGGAGGCCGAGGCGGGTGGATCATGAGGTCAGGAGTTCGAGACCAGCCTGGCCAACATGGTGAAACTCCATCTCTACTAAAAATACAAAAATTTAGCTGAGCATGGTGGCACATGCCTGTAATGCCAGCTACTCAGGAGGCTGAGGCAGGAGAATTGCTTGAACCTGGGAGACGGAGGTTGCAGAGAGCTGAGATCGCGCCACTGCACTCCAGCCTGGGTGACAGAGCAAGACTCCATCTTGAAAAAAAAAAAAATACTTCTACCCTATGTAACCTGTGTCATAACATATTAAATGTTTTGCTCCCAAGAGCTAGTAGTCAGAATCTCTCTCTTTTTCATTGCCATATCCTCAGCATTTAGCAGAGCATGGACGTGGTATGTACTCAATAATTTGTTGAATGAATCCATCGTATTTGAAAT